>NC_000002.12:188701739-189004769 GCF_000001405.40 Homo sapiens | reverse complement strand
AAAGAGAGTCAGGAGTGCAAGATGACTTGAATGGATGGATAACTAGCATTAATGAAAGACTTTCCAAGATCTATAAGCTAACACTATTTCCCCCTTCAAAACTGACAGTCAACAAATTGAAGAATATTCACAAGTTTCCTAAAAGAGGTGTTTGAGATGGCAATATTGTTTTCATCATATTAATTTATTTGTGTTTATATTCAAGGTTTGTCTATGATATGCCCTGTTTTGTGTTCTGGAGCCATTTATTAAAATTTATGCTTTTAAAAATCTAAAAATAAAAAAAAATTATCTCCTGGCTAATTTACTCCAGTGACAGAAAAACTTTTCATCCTTGATATGGTTAAGTGATCTCTGAAGGCTACCAAAGGAAGGAAGAGTGTAGTGGAAAATGACTATACTCACCTTGACACCCTGAGGGCCAGGGCTTCCCCTAGGACCTGGCATGCCTGGTGGTCCTGCAAGACCCCGTGCTCCAGTGATCCCAGCAATCCCAAGTGGGCCTGGAGCTCCCTAATACAGATAATGAAGACTTAGCTCATCTTTATGTGACAGTGTTTTTCTCTAATCGATTTGTGATAAAAATCAAAATAGTAGAATCAATTTAAAAAAATGAAGTTACTTACTGGTGGGCCCTGGGCACCAGGCGATCCCTTCTCTCCTGGTTGGCCAGCATCACCTTTTGGTCCAGACACTCCAGGGCTGCCAGGAGCACCAGTGTTACCCGCAGGACCTGGGGGCCCATCCTTGCCTGGAGAACCGCTGGGACCTGGGGGTCCTGGGTTACCCTACAAATAATTGTTTGAAATTTGAATATTTATAATAAAAAGTGCATTTTTTCTTTCTTTTTTTACTTACTTCAAATAATTTTATTTGAGACTTACTAGAGAAATAAGTAGCAATGTGTAAGTTTCTCATCCTATACATACATGAATGCTCTTTCTGAAGTGTATGATGAGAAAAGACTTTAACAATTACTTACATTACTACCAGGAGGACCAGGAAGACCACGAGCACCAGGGAAGCCAGCAGCACCCTGTGAAATGGTAATATATTTTTGAATTTCAAAAGTAGAACAAATAACTGTACAACAAACAAAAAGTATAATGTGTGGCATGATCTGCATTGTACCTGAAAGTCATTTATGGTTTGTGTTTCCCCTTGGAATTTACATATAACTCATGTATGAATGAGCGATTACAATTTTTACATTCTCTTTATGGAACTAGTGTCTCAAATGCAGCTTTTATACAGGTTGATATCAATTAATGCTTTTCAATAATAGTTAAGAGGATCAATACTTACAGGTCCACCAGGACTGCCACGTTCACCTTTGACACCTTGGGGACCAGGAGGACCCTATATGAAATGGAAGGAAATTATGTAAGAATAGCACCAAAATCAAAATTTGGGAAAAGCATTAAGCCTTTGAAAACCAGGAACTCTATGAAGAGGTTAAAATAACTTTTAGATTGCTGGTGCTGAGATTCATACTTGGACTATATTCATATAAAGATTATATTCTTGACACTATGACATGCTATCTCAGTATAAAATATTAAATTACTGATAAACCTCCATGTTTTTCCATTAGAACACTTAGGACTTACAGAGGGGGGAGAGGGAGAGAGAGAGGGAGAGATAGACAGATAATCAATAGATAGATAGATGATAGATAGATAGACAGAGAAAGAGGAAGGAACTTACAGCAGGTCCAGAACCTCCAGGGGGTCCTGCAACTCCAGGAGGGCCTCCTTCACCTTTCTCACCCGGAGCCCCTCTTTCTCCTTTACCACCAGGTTCACCATTCTGTCCCTACATGCAACAACAACAGCAATCTCTCAGCTGACACTCTTTATGATACAATTGGCTTATTATTATTTCTCTTCAGAATATAGAATTCTTCAGATGGAAGGAGTTGAAATAAAATTTAAAAACAAGGCTTTCTGAAGACATGACAAAATGAAGCCAATCAAAATATTTTCATGATCAAAGAACATGACCAAGAAAGCATAAACTGTGCATTATTTGCCATTAGGGAGGGAGGAAGTGTCTCTAAGGATTAAACATTTGAAAATCAGCACCAGTAAATTTTTTTGAGAAAGACCGGATTTAAGAGAAAATTTTAATTAGTACCATCTTATAATGGAAGAATTTACAAAAATTCAGAGTGCTTTTAAATCCATGATACTGCTTTAGTTCATTACCCAGTCATAAAAGCAGGACAGGTGTTTTTATTTCCATCTTTCAAAGAGCGACAATAGGGGTAAAGTAAAACAAAATAGGGGTACAATAATCCTATAGGGAATGAGCAGCTAAAATGAGACTAGAAACCAAACTTGACTATACTTTTGTAATTTTTCAGCAAGATAGAGATCCTGGGCTATGGGACATGTATGTATAAATATTCACACTTACAGGAGCACCAGGGAAACCAGCAGGTCCTGGAGGGCCAGTTTCACCTCTCTCACCCTGAAGAGAAAAATATCCTCCTTAGTCACAGTGAAGTGTGCGTCATCTCCTTTAGGCAGGAAATGTCATCTTATCATCTTATCTTTTCTTTCCTTTAAGCAGGAAATGTGCAGAGTAGCCAATAAACTTCTGAAGACTTTGCCACTTCTCAATAAAATTAGGAGTGGAAAATACCAGAACCATTGATTCCTTCTGCCTCCTACTGTGATATTATTTGCAAGAAAAATAGTTTGAGAATTTTAAAGTATTTAACACATTTATATATATAGATATTTATGTATTTCAATATATGGTAGAAGCTTAACTGAAAAATTAACTGATTTATTTTTAAAAACCATTTACTAAATATCTTTCCAGAGTCTTAAATCCTGAAGGTCAAGACTTTTAAATCTAGAAGGAGTCTCAGGCAAAGATTCTATAGGCTTAAGAAATACCTAATTACAAACATGTACTACTTGTGCAATTCATGTATTTTTTCCAAAGTTATTTAGGAAAGAAATCCTGATTTAAAATGGTCTCCTGTGAATGTTAGATTTAAGAAATTTAACATTCCCTTGCATGCTATATGGTTCCTTATATGGTTTTTGAAGATAATATCTCCAAATTGAGGCTCAGGGAACTGAGGGCAAAACTGCCAAAAAGGGAAGCATAAGTAGCTACTGTCTGTATGGGGTTAAAAAGTATGTTGAGAATGTCTTTAACACTTACAGGGCTACCACGAGGTCCAGCTATACCTGGAAGTCCGGGGGCACCACCTTCACCCTGGAAAAAGAGAAGCCATGTCACTGTCTTGCATCCAAAAGAGAGAGACATTTTCTTTTTATATCCAGGTAGTATTAAGGGTTACCTTATCTCCAGGCTGGCCAGCTGGGCCAGGAGGACCAATAGGACCAGTAGGACCCTAGAGGAAATAAAAATATTTTTTAATTTTGAAGATACAAATATCGTTTTTTGCATTAATCAAACAGAAAGTATATAGACATAGATACCTAATAAACTAGATAACATACTTTTTAAAAATTTTTATGGCTTGAATGCTATGCTTTTCTCTCAATGTGTAAATACTGCAGAGCTCAGTAAACACAAGCCTCTTTGGGGATAACTCTGGGAGAAAATAGGATTCAGCAATAGTTTATTGATTCATTTATCTTTATCTCCATTGTAGAAGATAAATAGGATGTCATGTAAGATCTTACAGTAATGTCTTTTTAAATTAAAGTACATTTCTTTATTCAATTGCTTGATAATTTAAATGTTTTCTCAAAGTCTCATTGTACATATTAAATTTTTCAACTTGAAATTTTCAAATAGTAGTTTTACTTATATTACAAAACTGAAGTATTGAGCACTCTTTTTACCTGAATGACGGCTTATCTACTTAGTCTGTCAAAAGCGAAGCATTTATGAATTTCTTTAAGGCAACTATTATATAAATTTATTAAAAGACTTAATTATAATCATATTTAGGAGATGTTTTTTGTTTTGTTTTTGACTTTTAGTTTGAATTATAGATTCATAGGATGCTGCAAAGGAATATACAGGGAAATTCTGTGCACTTTTCTCCCAGCGTCCCCTAATGTTAACATCTTACACAACTATAATATAATATCAAAACTAGGAAATTGACATTGATACCATCCATAGAGCATGTTCAGATTTCACCAGTGATACACACACTCATTTATGTGTGTGTATATGTAGCTCTATAGAATTTTATCCCATGTGTAGATGTGCCTGACTACCACCTCAATCAAGATACTCAAATGTGCAATCACCATAAGACTCCCTTGTGTCATGTCTCCATAGCCACATCCATCTCTCTCTTTCTCATTCTTAACTGCTAGCAACCACTAATCTGTTCTACATCTCTACAAGGAAGTTATTTTGCAAATATTGTAGGAATGGAATCATGCAGTATGTATCCCTTGGTGACTGAATTTTCTTCACTGAGTATGTTGTCCTTGAGGTTTGTATAATTTGCTGTGTGTACAGCATCAATTGTTCATTCCTTTTTGTTGCTAAATACTATACAATTTTTAAATATTAAGTCTATTAATGAGGAGTACTTACTATATTGAATTTTGATGACTTTTAGTTTCTTAATGAGCAGCATTGATTATCCTAAATTTCAGTGATTATCTCAGATTTTAGTGACTCACAAATGCTAGTTTGTGACCTTTATCGTACTCTTGAGGCTTTTTCATTCTTTAGTCACTGTAGATCTATCAAGTAGCCATAGATATAGACCACAAATTTCATTATAAATCAAGTCATTCGGGTCTTTAGGTGGTAAAATATCTAATTTCTCTTGAGTAGTTTTTGGAAAAAATTAAAGTTGAAGTGCAGGACTGTCCCATATGACATATAGATAAGGCCTGCTTCTCCTCACTGGGAATACTCACCCTTGGGCCATCTTTCCCTGGGACACCATCAGCACCTGGACCGCCTGGTTCACCCTGTCAAATAAAAGCCAATGTCATCAGATTCAAAGTATCTTCAGTGAAAATCAGCCAAGAAGAGGAGTAACTCTCAGGATTTGTAGGGATATATATTGGGTGTTCTAATTCATTGTTGCTTTAGGAATCCATCTTAAATTTCACTTACTATAAAATGATAACATTAATTTTGAAAATACAGTCGATTACTTTCCAGGAGTGTTGCTTTTTTTAAAACCTACAATGACTGATTTATTGAACAATTAAGAGAAAACAAGTCAACACCTTGTCACCCTTTGGACCAGGACTTCCAAGACCTCCTCTTTCTCCAGGCATTCCTTGCAGACCAGGAGTACCAGCAGCACCAGGTGGCCCAGGAGGACCAGCAGCACCCTGAAAATAAGTGAGAAATAATAAATGATCAGAAGGAAATCAAATGCATTTTTTAAACCTAGGTGAATGGAATGCTGTGGAGTTACCTTTCCTCCTTCGGGACCAGGGGGACCAGCTCCACCTCTAAGTCCTGGGGCCCCTGCCAATCCAGGAGGTCCACGTTCACCAGGGGCACCAGCATCACCCTGTGACAAAAATATGTAAATAACCATATTAGACAACCCAAAGCTAAAAACAAAGCACCTTAACTTGCATCATTTTGAATCAGGCCACTAGGTTATTATATTGTGAACAATCTAGAAATTTGTATACTTAAAAATAGTTGAACAGCTGGGTGGGAACTAGAAGCTTAAAAGAGTGTCTAAAATAAAACTTGGATACTTAGTCTGGTTAAGTGTGAGCTGTCATTGAAATACTTATTATTTTATTCACAAGAGCAACATTTTAAAGTTCTTTTTACCAAAACAGTTTTCCTACATAGAATCAACATATTGGCAATATTTTTCCGTTTGAAATTTTAAGCCCGTATTTGATTCTGTAGTGATTATGAATGTCAGAGAATTGGACCTTCCAGATTAAAGCAAATTTAATGTATTGAAAGTGTCTTGAGTTTCTCTAAGTGTACTTACCAAACATTTGCAATGATGCTCTTTTAAAGAAAGAGTATTTTGGCTTGATATACTAAAAATATACTACTAATCAATTGCTCTATAACCTGCTGAAGAAGGTAGAGAATAAATTGAAATACTACCTTGCCTCCTGGAGCTCCAGGTGCACCGGCATCACCCTTTGGACCCTGGGAGATTGGCATTATATGATTAGGCCCATATCAGAGTGCATTTTATGTAAATATAAGCAAATATGTAAATATAAGCAAATATGTAAATATAAGCAAAATACACATTTGTCATGTTGGCATACTGTATAATTTTTCAAATCTTGAAACTATGAACTCTCTATTTTATGGTAAAATTCAAACTCTATATAATAGTTATCTTTTAAATAATTTGTCTTTGTTTTGATAATATTTCAAAACTAAATGTTAAATCTCAAATATCATGGCATAAGAAAATTAAGAAGTTAATAGTTGACAAACAAACAGTGTGTATTCTTTTTGTTTCTGAGTTTTGAATAATGAAACGTAACTTACTGGTTCCCCAGGTTTTCCATTTTCTCCTGGAGGACCACCTGTACCAGGCAAGCCCTAGAAAGAATCATATTTGTATTAGGTAATTACCTCAAACATGGCTTATAGAAAAGCTTCTCATATGTACACATGTTTCTGCAAGATATTAAAAAAAAGTTCCAGTGGTCTTGTAGGGGTAGAAACGTTGTGCCACTCAAAATCCAGTGACACATACGTGATAATCATATTTTACAAACCCATTTTCATCTCTCTCTGTTCTTTCAATTGCTACACGTAAAAATGTATTGACCAGCATGGCAGGATAGACTTGGCTATATGGATTTATGTTATAATAAAAATAAGTGTAACCAAATAGAATTATTTGAGTTTCATTAATTCTTTTAAATAACTTATTAATGTGCTCTGGAACGGACATGGAAGATATGCCTACCTATTAACATTGCCTAAAATTTTATTTCCAGATGAAAGACAGAATCACAAGTTAAGCTTCAGATAAATTATAATCTATTAGGGACACAAAAAAATTTGACAGTCAGATATGCCGTGACATTTAAATAACAAGTTCTTACTTGTAATCCTTGTGGACCAGGGGGTCCTGTGTCTCCTTTGTCACCACCAGGCCCCTAGAAAAGTATAATGATACACTCTGTTGTAAACATCCTTTTATATTTAGTCTACAGTATCCATTTCAACAGGCCTGTTGCTTAATTATAAAAGTAGTGATGTGAAGAAAAGGGAGGACCTGGACCCAAAGCACACATGTACACTCTAAACTCAATGCTAGCATTTAGCTAGATAACTAGGTCAGCAAGTTTCATCATTGCTTTGGTAAACTGTAACAACATGGTGTCAGAGATTATGTAATTTTTGAAGCATTCTTCCTGCCCCACCTCCACCCTATTTTCATCTCCAATTTTATATGAGTGAACTTACAGTAGGCCCTGGGGGTCCCTGAGGTCCAGTTTCACCATTCTTTCCAGGAGGACCCTAAAAACAAGAACAGTTAGGGAAGTAGAAATAATACAGATTACAGAGAGAAGTCAGAAGGTTGGAGATGAACGCATCTATTAGAAGGCTAGAAATAAATTGAGGAAAGCTACGTACCTGAGGGCCAGGTCCTCCAGGGCCACCTCGTTCTCCATTCTTACCAGGAGCACCCTAAAGAAGAAGTGGTCGGTATTTACTAATCCTCAAAGGGCAATAACTAATCATATTATTGTCTCATATATATATGTCTCATATATATATGTCTCATATATATATGTCTCATATATATATGTCTCATATATATATGTCTCATATATATATATACACACACACACATACATATTTTTGAGACTGAGTCTTGCTCTGTCGCCCAGGCTGGAGTGCAGTGGCGCAATCTTGGCTCACTGTAGCCTCTGCCCCC
This sequence comes from Homo sapiens, assembly GCF_000001405.40. Classification (NCBI taxonomy): domain Eukaryota; kingdom Metazoa; phylum Chordata; class Mammalia; order Primates; family Hominidae; genus Homo; species Homo sapiens. Next base: position 188,996,914 of record NC_000002.12, on the reverse strand, counting down.
CGGGTTCTAGTGATTCTCTTGCCTCAGCCTCCTGGGTAGCTAGGATTACAGGCACATGCCACCATGCCTGGCTAATTTTTGTATTTTTAGTGGAGACAGGGTTTCACCATGTTGGCAAGGCTGGCCTAGAACTCCTGACCTCAGGTGATCTGCCTGCCTTGGCCTCCCAGAGTGCTGGGATTACAGGCGTGAGCCAGCGCACCCAGCCTGTTTCATATTTTTTATCTGCCTGCTCCATACACACACATACAACCATAACCAATTATATATTTAGCTCCCTTCCTACATGCAATTTGATTTTCATATACTCCTCCATGCTTTGAAGAGGAGACTGAGTTTTGACCATTTCTTTACTCCATATGGAAAATAAAAGCCTTCCAGTCAAATATTTATTGAAGAAATTAATGAAGGAACTCACATCATTTCCTTTAGGACCGGGGAAGCCCATGACACCAGGCTGACCTCGGGGACCAGATGGCCCAGGAGGACCTGGTCGACCACTTTCTCCTTGACTTCCCTAATAAGAAAAAATTACATTAATAAAGGTTTGATAAAGAGAAGATTAAAGCATGCTATATATATAGTATGTGTGTGTGTGTGTGTGTGTGTATATATATAGATATACATATACATATATATATATACACACACACACACACACACACTCAAGGATAGGCCAACATATACATTCCATTTTAACTGGCCTTTTAAAATGAGATTTTAAAAATGTACATACGGGAGGCCCTGGTTTCCCATCACTTCCTGGTCCTCCTGGACTTCCGGGCATGCCCTGAAGTAAAGAAGTCAGTTGTTAGGTGATTTAAAATGAAATAATAAAAAATTACTACATACACTATTTGTATGATTTTGATATTTTCACTTACATGTGAAGCCTCAGATTTGCACATCTTTTTTCCTGTCTATAAAGTATCTAAGGCAAGTGTTCTATCTTCTCTTCTCCTTGAACTATCTCGGCTTAAGTTTACTTAAAAGAATTTTGTTTTGTTTGGTGCCTTACAAAATATGTAATCTGATTGATTTAAGTTGCTTTTGATCTGTCTTCATTTGTCTTGCCTTTCTTCTGTCTAAATTAAAGTGTCATTCAAACAAATGTTTCTCTGTACCCTCATTCCTGGACCTCCAGGGACGCCATCTCTGCCAGGTTCTCCAGCAGCTCCTCTGGGCCCTGCAGGGCCTGGAGCACCACGCTCTCCAGCAGGACCCTAAGTAGTGAAAGAAATTTTAAAAAAATTAAAATAGCCTTCACTAACCTAGATAGCAACAATATTTTGGTTACAAAGAGAGGACGTCATTTGAACTTTTAAAAAGGGTTCGTGTGTTGCTGAAACATTTATACATAAAATCAGTTATCTTAGCTTGGATTGCCATATTGAAAAAATTTTAAAGCAACTTTGTGAACATCACATGCTTAATAAAACAGTATTCACTGTGCTTAAAAATATAATTATGTGCAGCTAAAATCAAATATCTTAATGCTATGAAATCATATTTGATGTAACCTTAGAGTTTTCAAAGACTTTTCAGGCATTTTAGTTTACTGTACTCTTGCAACGATGCTCAGATAAATGCTTTCCAATTAACAGATAAGTAAAGGATTCTCATAGAGGGTAAGTAAGTGGCTTTAGTTACAAAGCCAGGAAAGTTGTTGAACAGAGGATGCATTATATTAGGAATTTTTCTTAACTCTAATATATATTCTTCAGATATTTAGGTTTTCATGAATGAGAAATTGTATACAAGAACTGCCCATTTGTGGTGCTAGCATTTAGGAACATAGAAACTAAAGTTATCTACCTTTTCTCCTGGGATGCCATTTGGTCCAGCAGGTCCTCGGAACCCAGGGGCACCCTGAAAATAATGAAAGACAAGTATTTCAGTCCAAAGGATTTCAATTCTTTTTCATAATTCTTGAGTGGCAAATATTTTTATGTCATAGAATGCTTTAAACAATATTTTCACTGAACACTCAACTTAAGAAAAATTGGCTGTCTCACCCTGAAGGTAGTTTTATTTAGATGACAGTGATGCTGCTTTTCTTTTAGATGCCCCATGGAAAACGTACCCTTTCTCCTGCAGCTCCTGGAAGCCCATTTGCACCAGGTTCTCCAGGTGATCCATCCTTGCCATCTTCGCCTTTAGCTCCTGGAACACCTGGAATACCAGCCTCACCCTGAAAAAAAAAAAAGATGGTAAAATAAAGAAATTATGACTGAATTTAGTTCAAAGTTTTTACCTGTTTACTTTCTAATTATGTTGCATTTTTTCAAGAAATAACCAGATCTGTTGCAGTAAAACTTACGCGTTCACCACGTGGTCCGGGCTCTCCTTTGGCACCATTCTTACCAGGCTCACCCTAAAGTATAACAAAGTCTTGGTTGAAACACAGGGAGGATTCGACTAACAAATCATCACCAGTAACACATAATTCAGTTATAAGTTATAAGACAAGAGTGAAGTCAATATAAATTCAACTGAACAGGAGCAAAATTTTGCTATTAATTTTTTGTTGATGGAATTAAACTATACCTTTCAGTCAACAGAGAAAAAACAAGGCAACTTACTGCACCACCTCGCAGTCCAGGAGCACCATTAGCACCGGCTGGTCCTGGAGGACCCCGGGCTCCCATCAGTCCAGGAGCTCCAGGAATGCCAGCGGGACCCTAAGAACAAACCAAAGACACTATATTAGCCGAACTTGAATGTTCTTTTATGAATATCTCACTTAAATATCACAAATCTATTGTCATGCAAAATGCAAAAGAAGCCAGTAATGTGTGGATGAGATAAGGCTGAGGAGTGGGGACAGCTTACCATTTCGCCTTTACCACCAGGACTACCATTAATCCCAGGAGGGCCCTAAGTATACAAAAAACAGATAATGTATTAATAGTAATGCAAATAGTTCGTATATATTTGAAGTTGTTTGTGTGAAAATAAATGTATCGATGAGTGTTATGCTTTGTAGAGATTAAGTGAATCCTCCAACTATAACACAACATATGAAATGTGGTCAAAAGAATCATCATTATCTAAATAAATTAGAGATAATATGTACTTCGTATAAATTATTAAATGATACATAAATAGAAGAGATTTTGAATTTGGTTCTTCTCTGAATTTTTATGATTGGTGATTAGCTTGGGGCACATTCTTGAAAGCATCAGAAAACTAGTCTATCCTCTATTCTTTTATATAAACATAAAAAATCATGAATTCTGGAATAGTGCAACAGTCAAAAACTATCATTTTTACTACTAATCAAATCAGTATGTGTCACAGGAGGATCATTTTAGAGCACTAAGCAACAATTTTTTCAAAGTAATTTTCACTGATAGCCATATTGAAGCACATGCTTTCATGGAGTAAGCATGAAACTATGCTTTCATGGAGTAAGCATGAAACTATGCTTACTCCCTCTCAACTATGATACTTACAGGAGGACCTTGAGCACCAGCGTGTCCCTGAGGTCCAGGTTCTCCTCTTTGTCCAGGGGCACCATTTGAACCAGGAGACCCTGCAGGTCCAACTTCACCCTAATGGTAAAACCTTGTGTAGTCAGTTTCTCTTACCACTTCTACTCACTTAGCCACTTCACCCTTCAGTCCTGTTTAAACACATCTCCCAAAAGTTGGAGTAGTGGGACTCTATACTGCAGGTAAAGCAAGGAATCATTAATCGTAAAGGCAGAGAAAAATGTAACTATGTGTGTGTGATTGCATTATCAGTTTCCTAGAAAGAGTCTGGGGAAAAAAAGAAGGTAGCAGAAGAAATATCAAGATAGTTGAATACTAGGGACAACACCTCTTTTAGAATCAAGAATAGGGCTTTAAAGACATGTATAGATAAAAGCTATCCATTTGACTGATTAAAAAAATCAGTTGCAAGAAGCAATCTAATGCTTTTCTCTTGCCTCCAAGATATTTTTATACCCTTCTATAGAAACACATGTTTACCTTAGCACCAGGGGATCCAGGGAATCCGGCAGTTCCAGGAGGACCAGGAGGGCCCTGAAAAAATTAAATACAATTTCAAGAGCTCTTTTTCAACTAAATGAAAGCTGACATACTAGTAAATAAGTGAGCACATATAAAGTAAAGAAGATATTTATGCAGATAAAAATGATATTCATATTTTATGGATATTATGTAGAGAAACAATGTGGTAAAATAAGAAAAGAGTGAAATCTAAAGTTAGAAATTCTTGGTTTCTCCCTACTTTGCCATGAATTCTGTGACTTAGTGCAGGCTACTTTTCCCTGGGCTTTTGTACTCCAGTCTACAAAATGGAGGTAACATCTATTTTATCCATTTTGTAGGACTCTTTAAAGTGCCATGTCTTACATAGGATATTAACTAACATTGGGAGCACCATTCAAATGTTAGCAGTTGATCAAGCAGAATGAGTGTCAGAACCTAGATTTTGTTTATGGGCTCAGTGTCAGTTTTAATCACAGGAGTGTATATACAATATTAAGTATTGGGGCTACAATATTTTTTCACTTTTTAAATTGTAAAAATGGTCAACAGAGATGCTAATGTGTATATTAGAGATATACATATGCATATATATATACCTAAGAGTATATACATATATAAAATATTAAATAATCCACAATCCATAACTTCTCATTACCCTACAACACATAAGAGATAGAAAGTTACTTACTGGTTGACCATCACTGCCTCGAGCACCGTCATTACCCCGAGCACCCTAAAAAGAGAAGTTTACATCAAATATCCTTTTAATTCTGAATGGCTGGTCATGAGTAATATTTTGACCAAAATTCTGACTCAAGTGAGTTGAGTTTTCTTCAAGTACATTAAAATCTGCTTAATAATTATGTATTTTAAAGTCAATTATTACAATTCTGATATATACAGCAACAATCAAATGTAGAAGGATTGGAGTCTGTGTTTTCAGGACTGAATGCAGATATAATGGCTCAAATGACATATGAAAAGTTAACACAAAAATTCTCAATAGAGATAATAATTGTAAAACAATTATTCATTTCCTTTTAACTATAGCCAAAACTTTATCACAGTATCATTGAGTATAATTTTGTAGGAAGGTCTTTTTCCTAACATATTTTTACAGCCTGAAACTTTACTGAGGCTGTAAAAATCTGTCACTTTGGGTTGTAATTGTGTGATGTTAGCAGCTATACTCACTGCAGCCCCAGGAAGTCCTGGCCGTCCTCGCTCACCAGGAGCCCCTCTTGGACCCTACAGAGTAAAATTGAAATATGGTTTTACTCTAATCTTGACATGTGTAAGAACAGTTGGGGTGGGAGCAAAGCCAGTTTTAGGTAACAATGAGGTTAATAATAAAACTGAAAATTATACATAAGAAACATAATTACCATGGGTCCAGGAGCTCCATTTTCGCCTGGAAGACCATTTTCACCCTAGATACATATAAAATATGTTACTATTTTACAAAAGAGGAAGAAAATATTATATATTTTTAAATACAGAATATTATGGAAAAGTTTATAGAGCCTAGAAAAAGATATACATTTTAACAATATTAATTTTCTGTTAGTATTTTATTTACCAGAAATCTCAATTTCTGTATTTAAAAACTTAAAGACTAAAGTGAAGTAATTGATAAGTTATACTAAGATGCTCAACTATTTCTAATCTAGACTCTTCAAGTTGTCATTTTTCATGGAAGCGTTAATAGAATATCTGAATTGGTTACCATTATTCACACCTAATAGGTAAAATTCAGGTAAATTTCAGAAAACAAGTTAAGGCTCACAATATGAATCTTATATGTAGCTTTAATATTTAATGAATTTACTTATGAAAATATGATTTTTGTTGTGATTTACCTTTAATCCAGGAGCACCTGTTTCACCCTTTTCTCCATTTCGTCCATCGAAGCCCTAGGAAATGTATAAAACCAGCAAAATTATTAAAATCTGTTAATAATCTAGAATGATTGATAAAGTTTACATGGTATTTTTCTAATTGGTCTTCATAACACTACTTGCAAAATTAGCTTAAATAATTTAAAACTTGTTTAAAGGGGTTGAAGATATTTCATACTGATTTTACAACAGGAAAACATGAAAACTAGAAAGTGCAATTTAGTCTGATAAGAAAGTTGCCTTAACTATAGAGTAGCAAACATGAGTTTCATAGATTTTATTATAATTCAGTTGATAGGTTGTAGGCACAGTTGGTTGAATGTACGAAATATTTTGCATAGAATAAAGTTGTTCAACTCAATCTATAAATCATATTAAGTCAATAAAAAACATAATTCACAAAATGTTTTTATTTTTCTGATAGTGGTAGTAAGAAAACGATATTTTTCAAGAGTACTTTATACACTAGAAATCAACTCCTTTATTTTGCAAAAAATGACTAGTTTGGTCAACAAACAAACTTAGTAGACTTAAAAATATCAAATTAATTAATTGTCAGAATCATATTTTTTGGCACATAATTGTCCAGTAAAATTGGTTAGGCAAGTAAACATAGCCCAGTGGAATACCTTGTAAACAACTTAGAAACTCTACTTACTCTGTGTCCTTTCATACCAGGGAATCCAGGTATCCCAGCTGGACCTTTGATACCCTAAAAATAATGAATGAAAAAATATTAATGAACCTTCAAATAGAATCACAATCTAGTAGTAAAACACTTTCTGTTTTTAAGTTTAATTCCATTGAATTACATAATAGTTTTCAAGCTAAGATTATTCCAATTAATTTATTAGATGCTGAAGACTCACTGGAGGTCCAGGCAATCCTCGCTCTCCAGGTCGTCCGGGTCTACCTGATTCTCCCTAGGTAGAGAAATAAAGAATACGTAGGTGCTCATGTATGAGAAAATACATTGTAGCCAATAAGCAAAATGGTTACTTTGCATTTTTCTCACAAAGGACTCATTAAAATGGTTCCACAAAATGTATAGTTGAGATCAGCTTTCTTGGTAGAAGGCATGAGGAAGACCTTTCCCACTTTGATATAAGCTTATAAAGAGATAATGCAGGTGCTTCTAATCACTGAAATAACATAAGCCAGTGAAAAGAATTTGCCATTGGAGATTAAGAGGGAAAGAAGGAATGCCATTGAATTGAAGGTATCTATAACTTCTCAAGTTCATTAAATAGTGGTATCAATTTCATCATTAAAAGAGGCAGGCAGAGACACCTATTTCTCCTCCAGTTAAATAATATATTCAATGGATGAGTCTTCTCCGCAGTCAAAAAGCACTTTAAGGATTTTATTTTGGAATTCAACAAATGATATATATAGAAACGCAAATACTGTATAGCTACTCAAAAATTAGTATTAACTAAAATGTTGTTAAGACAACAATATTTTGAATAACATTTTTTTTTCTTCTGGGATTCTGACATAAAGCATATACTGTTTAGAATACACCAAGTTAAATTTTGCTGTATTCTTATTTAAGTTTTAAAAACTTACATCTTTTCCAGCAGGACCAGATGGACCTATAGCACCAGGAGGTCCTGGAGGGCCCTGAAAATAAGGAAATAAAAAATGAATAGATTTGTAAATTTTTCTGTTACAATTTATTATTACACAGTGTATGTATTCCTGGAAGGAACCTCCTTTTAGAAAATACTTTTAATGTTTCTGATAATGAAAATGATACTTACTGAGTTAATATTATACCTCTATTATATCAACTTACTGTTAATAAAAATTAAAAGCATCATATATTACGTATGTGTATTTATAAATCCAAATGCATTTCTACACGTTTAGGAATATTAAATATATCTAAATATAAAGGTATTTCTAAATGTCATGAAATGTTGTATTTAAACTATTTTACTTGCTTATTTACAGAGCATATCCTTCTAAAGGACTCTCTAAGATTATGTTTATTTCTACTGTCTAAGATATATGTATATGTATATTTACATATGTAAATATATAACTATATTTATCAGTAGATTAGATATGAGTGAACTGAGTGTTTACAGAAAAATGAAATCTATATTTAATATATACAGAATTTTTATCAGCTCTGGGAAGTGGACTATTTTGATGGCTAATGATGAGGGAATTCCTTTATTAACTAGTGTCTCTAAGATAGCTAACAATTGAAAGAGTCCAAAAGACTCAATAAAATGCTATTCGTTATTTACAAACTTAAGGGTAAATTTAATCTTCATTCTGTAAAGACCTATACTTGTTTTAGAAAACAAAGGTAGGTTCCATATGGAATTATCGACTTACTAAATATAAATTTAATTGTTACTTACTGAAGGACCAGCTTGCCCAGGTTCACCAGGGGGTCCTTGGTATCCTGGAGATCCCTAGTGAGTAGAATATGTAAATAATTTTAAAGTAACAAAATCTTCATATAATTCATTTACATCTTGACAGTAAGAAATCAGGATTGTGAATGTAATCAGCAAATTTTACTCCAGTTTATAAATATTGAGACCAAATTATTTTTAGATCAGAATGAAGTTAATGTATTTCATTCCATTCATTGCAATCCATCAAAACTGAATGGTTTTGAACTAAAAGTCATATTACATGCAAATTAATGTGGTTTAATTTTACCAAGATTTCAATTGCTAATAACTGTTGGTGGAAAGGAATTAAATATGGAATTCCATCTTTGAAGCCTTAATCAGTTTCTTGGTTATGATTTCTCTAGTTAACTGGGATTATGCATGCTGGAATGGCTGAATTATAGCAGAATATATATTAATTTGATTTTTCTAAAAATGAGGAAGAAAACACCACCAATGGCTATACTTACAGGGGAACCAGGATGACCAGATGTACCAGGGGGACCGGGAGGGCCTGGGGGGCCCTGGAATGTGAATTTGAATGAAAAACAAAATAAATGAATGCAAAATACACTTTATCCATGCTTCAAAGCAATGACACTCGCATTGTTAAAACTATGAACAACTATATCTCATCTTTTGATAACTTTTTGATAACTATTCATGAGATCTATAATGAAGATCTTAGCAAGCAAACATTACTGTAATGAAATTCTCACAGATTCTATATAAATTATTAATAAATGTTATAAAATGTTGTCCTGAACTCTTAAGGAAGGGAATTAAAAATCTGGAAAAACTAGTACATAATGCTATGAAAATCCCTGCAATGTTAGGGTTATATTGCACTGGTGAAGAAGCAATTTCTCGCTTGGCAGCCAAACTCAGTGCAGAAAAACATTTATTGGCACACTAGAAATCCTATAATCAAGTATCTAAAATAATAATGTAAATCAACCCAAAAGTCCCATAATTATGTTGATATATCTATCACAGAGTTAATTGACATAGAGATTTATATGATCATGCAAGAATCATCATACATAGGACAATTGATTTATCATTGTTCAGAAATACAGATTAAACTAGAAAACCTTCAGCAAGCTGAAAACAGTATGCTTCAGTTTTGTAACATGCTGTTTCTAAATACTGATAGTAAATTTATAAAACAATAGTTTGTATATTTCCATTTTCTCTTATAAACACTTTTCTGAGATGTTAATAAGTGTTGACTTTGGTTTTTTTTTTTAGTAAAAATTTATATGTGATTAAAAATAGGTTTAATAATATGAATAAGATAGAAAGAACATGATAATGCTACCATTTTCTTTTCCAACCTTAGTAGGGGTAAGCTATTTTGTACAATTCCATAAAAATACTGAATTCCTAGAAGAGCAACCATTCAAGATTTTACAAACCAGAAAGATAATAAAGCTCCAAAATGCTGAGAAACATTTGTACGTACAGCTGGTCCAGGATAGCCTGCGAGTCCTCCTACTGCTACTCCAGACTTGACATCATATGAATCATACTGGGGAGAATAGTTCTGTGGCAAGGAGACAAATAGATATGATCATTTTAACAGACAGTTCATAATTCTTTTAAAAAGCATTTAGAAGTGCATGCAACATCTACTGTCTACTGATAGGTTTTTGTGTGCCAAAAGATGTGGTATGTATTCACTAATTATCTTGTTTATCGTGTCTTTCTGTAGATTTAGACGTTAGATATCCTACAGAAGCATTTTCTTGTGGGATGCACAAATCTTTCCACTGTGTTCAATGTTAGTTCCCCCCAATTTTTCCTATTATGCGCTTACTTAAGCTATTATTTCTAAGCAGTAGCTACATCATTACAAACATAGGATCATAGGCTGTTTGAGGCCAAAAGAGTCTCGAGATCATATAATACACCTTCTCATTTTGAGCAAAAAAATGAAGTCAAATTATTTTTCAAACACTTAATGATACAAGTAAAATTCATATCCCCTGGATTCTGGTTAATATGACTAAAAGATTCACTCAAAAATAAACATCTCCATAGAAAATAAACCAAAAAATAGTAGAAAGGCTCATATGCTTATTAGATTTCTTTGAAGCTTTTTTTAAATTCTAAGTTCCAGGTCTAGAGTTAGGTTCTGTTTGGTTACTAGAATAAGAATAACTTAGACAATATACTTTGGTTCTTGTTGAATTGCTTTTTGAAATGCACTTTTTAACCTCACAAAAATTTGTGTAATATATTTTCTCGTTTCACCTAATTCCATGCAACAGAAATTTTGTCATATTTATTTGTTTGGTTGTTTTACCTGCAGATTTATTTGGCTGCCATGCTTCAGGAGAAGCAAGGTGTGCTCTGAAGTATTAGCAAGAGCAGTTTCATAGGCAGAAATAATCCTGTTCAATAGGAATACTAACAGTTCTTCAACTTCTTTTTGTCTAAACTTTTAGAGGCTTTGACATTGGTATTAGTAGGAGAATAAAGTATGGATACAGTACTAACTAAATTATTTAGGTTAATTTTTTTTGTTAAGTTCATAGTTCACTTCTTAAACATAATGTGTATGCTATATATCTGCTGAGAAATTAGCAAATTTTCCAAGGATATAGTAGCAATGACATTAGCATTATGAGGAAAAATGAATACTTATAAAGTACTTAGAATAGTGCCTAATACATAGAAGCACTAAATAAGGATTTATTAAATACACTGAATCAGAGAACAGATACAAAGAACTCATAATAGTGAGACGTAATATCGAGTAAAGAAAGAAGATGAACTAGATAGTTTTATGAGGGAATTTTTTAAGTACCGTAATTGTTATACCTGAGGACCAGTAGGGCATGATTCACAGATTCCAGGGGGGCCAGGAGAACCAGGGGACCCTGGTTGTCCTGGAATACCAGGGTCACCATTTCTCCCAGGAATACCAGGAGGGCCCTAAAAAAGAGATAAAAATAAATTAAATAGTGAAAAATCCTGGTGATTCACAATCATTATCAGATTGTTGTTTCTCTACTTTATAATATTAGGAAACAATATAAGTAATATATTTTCTTTATAACACATACTTTTTAATCAAAATCTTGTGAATAATTTAAGTATAATGTATTCCTTTGTATATTGACCTACACATTTTCTTTAAACTGATCATGGGGGTGAAGACATAATATGAAGTTTGGGAAATTGAAATCTTTACACGTACAATTATGGATTCTCAGTCTGTTGTTTGGTGCCATTATTCAAATATGTGGTAATGAAGAGAATGTATGATGAAAGCTCAAATCTAGAAAAAGCAAACTCTTACTAGAATTATCATTAGTATTAATTTTATTCTACTGAAGAATGTTTACTTACTGGATCTCCCTTGGGGCCTTGAGGTCCTTGACCATTAGGAGGGCGAGTAGGCTAATAAATGGAAAAGAAACAAGTTAAACAAGACACAGAATTTGCATATTATTTAGTAACCCAGATTCTAACCAATCCTTATCTTTAAATTGAAACGGTCACTTTTTACTCGTAATACAAACATGGCTATTTGATGAACATGACTTTCATTCCCTTTTAGGCTCCTATGATATAGGAGCTATTCATGTGTCTAAATATGAATATTGAAGATGTACAGTTTATCTTTAAACTCACAGCAGTTGGAGGCTGTGGGCAAACTGCACAACATTCTCCAAATGGAATTTCTGGGTTGGGGCAGTCTAATTCTTGATCGTCACATATTATGTCATCGCAGAGAACGGATCCTGAGTCACAGACACATATTTGGCATGGTTCTGGCTTCCAGACATCTCTATCCGCATAGGACTGACCAAGATGGGAACATCCTCCTTCAACAGCTGAAAAACAAGTTAGATGACGTGAAGTTTCCTTAGGTTTTGCTGAAAGGTGATTTTTGTTACTCTGTTAGGACTATTAACAATAGCCAAAGTTGAAAAGGTTTGAAACAAATAATTTCTTCCTTTCATTAGAAAATTATACTTGCCCTATGTAATTTGCTAAGTAGCAAGAAATTAATTAAAATATCATATCTGCTTGTTAACATAAAATTGGCACACCATAGTCAATTTTCCTTAAGACCAGCAGATATTTTAATTTCATTTATAGTAAGAATTAACATCAATGTATATCACACAAGCATTTAAACATTTATTTATTAAAGGAACATTGAAAATAAGCTCTTCTACCCAATTGCTATTCTTTGCCTTAACAGCAGATGGGAGCATTAAACTAAAGAGATGATTTTGTCACTAACTCTGAAGACTTTCTGGATTTTATCAACCTAGTTGAGAAATTCAGGGGAAAACTGAGCTAATCTTGGCAGCATAAAACTCTACCAGATTTTCCTGGGAAAGTTTTAACAGAACTTATTATGTGTATTGAATGTCACTGTTAGCTCTATTTGGCATTAGTAGCTCAACATGATATGACATAATATATTGTATATCCCATATGGATGTAAAGACATTTCCAAATCACCAAAAAGAAAAGAAAAAGATGTTTTTAAAATAAACATTGGCAAGGAATAAGTAAAAATAATAGGGAAAATATGAATCATAACCATCTGTATTTGTGGCTTAAAATGGTAAAAAAAATTGCTTCAACCAAAATTTTAGACTTGCTTCATAATTATATACAAGGTACTGAAATTTCAGCAGCTATTAACTATGAATCAGCTTAGGAATTGCCAAAACAAAACCTGGTCTCAATTCTTAAGGCATTAGCTGTGTATTGTGGTTAAATACAACTTTAGTTCTTGACAATTAGTATGATAGTTTGCCAGTAATTGAGTAAATAAATAATAAGTTTCTAAGCATCTGCAAAAATTTTTGCAAACAACAAATGATGTACTGTTCAGTAATTTATATTTTTGTGAGATGGTGAAATTTTTATTTTCTCAAAGCCAAGATATTTAAAATGTCTATTGAAAGAGGCCTGCTACCGAGTAGGCAAGTAGTTCAAAATTAGTTTTTGCCGCCTAGTGGTCAAGAGGCCTTTTAGTGGTCCTAAGATTTTTCCATCTGGGCACTACATGCAGCCACAAAAGATCACCTTTTCGAGGTCCCGTTGCTATATCATCTCTCTGTCTAGGGTAATAATAATTTAGGTTTGTGTTTAAATGAGTTGAAATGTTTAGCTGATTTAGTAAATGTTCACCAAAAAGAATTTCAAAACCTAGACTCTAGAAAGTACTGCAATTGCTTCCCCACCTCATTTCCATTTATGTGTTCTGATACAAATTTAATGATATTGTACAAGACACTTGATCTACTCAAGAAGTTTTAAAAATCCATTCTTTTTTATGTTACAATTTCTCAATGTAGTTTACAGCTAACGAAGGAAAGCTTCATTTTTTAATTGCAATTTTAAGTAGGCAAATAATTTGTTTATTTAGAAAATTTATTCTAATTCCTCCCCTATGTCTGAAACACATATATGAGAACATGGGATATATTTTCTATATACATTTCCTAAGCTTTTAAAACAGCATTTCTTAATTCTTAGTGAATATAAAAGCTGAATACCAAAATGCTTATCTCAGTGGAAATGAAGTAGGCCTATTTGAATGGTGTTACGGAAAATATATTTAATAGAAGAGCAAACAGTCATTTACACATTGGTGTGAAGAGTAATAACAGGTGAGTCTATGCATTAAACTCATTTTGTTCTCTAGACAGAACTGGCGTTTCATATTTAAGTACTAAGTTCACCAGTCTGCAGAAAAGGTCCGAAAATTTGGGTTTGGAAGATTGTGCAGTAAAATTACATGGAACACTGTAATTACATTGGTTCCTTTTCTCAAAATGAACCACTTAAAAATTTTCTCCAAATCAACTTTATATGAAATATTCCTACAGATTAGTTTCAGCCCAAGATTTTCCCATTAATAATGTGTATTTTAAGCCCTCCAGATCCATCCTCAAAAGCATTGTTAGATTGTACAGATGATTCTTTTAGCTCATTGCCTCTGGATCAGGCATATCTTTTCACACTTAATACAGCACGTGGATTATGAAAAACAGCCATTGAATACTAAAGGCATATTAAAGACAAATGAAGATAATAGTTAAAGCTAGGCTCAAACATTTCCTATTTTAAGTATCTTCTATATGTTCTTGATCTGCCTAGAAATTAACATAAATACTTTTCCCTCCTGTGTATTCATCCTCCTATGTTTATGTCTCATTAAGGGTGTCCTCACATCATTAGAAATACAGTACTTTCCATTTGTTCTGCTAATTATTAAATAAATGAGCACAATATTGACTTATTAAAATTGTAAATGAGTTTGTTAAAATTGGGTCAAATGCAATGTTATAAGTATTAACGTTGTTATTTAGCTTATTGTTTCTAAATTTTATTAGAAACATATTATAGTACTTTTTAAAACACGGAGGCCTCAATATAAAGATTATTTTAGTGCAATTTTAAAAATTATCATATTCTTAAAATATTTTTCTCTTCTCACCTGCACATGACAGTCAACATGGTGCATGTATGTTTTGTTTTACTTTAGAAAGTCATATTGTTTTAAGTAAAAAAAAGAGAGTTGGAATGTTTAAAAAATAAGAATTAATGCAACTTTATTTATTGCCATAACTTATTTCACATCCACTTGAAATAAATTTGGCTCTCCTGAGAAGTCAGTTCCTGTAAAAACTTGTGGCTGAAAATTAGCCCTTTCTCTGTTTTTCTACCTTAGTTACCTTTGCTGAAAAAAATAGTTTTGTATAGCTTCCTTTATTATTCCATGCATGACAAAATATAGTTAGCAATATATTCTACTGAAAGTTAAAGCTCTTAGATTGATGTTTCATGGACCTTCATTTAATACCTAGTAATATGTGCGAAAATCATGGCAAAGTCAAGGAAAAGAATGTTTTGTTTCTAGAGGAATAAAAATGCTCTAGTTAGCCATTTGCAACATTTAGAAATAGAATAGAAAATGGGATTTAGAAGTAAGTCATCTCATATTATTCTCTTCATTTCTTAGATATCTGCATTCAGAGTAGCTTCGGTTAAAAAAATAAGTTAATTTTTTCCAAAAATATTAAATAAAAGGCAAATAATTTCATTCTACTATTGAAAAGTAATGGACTTTCCAATTATTTCCATTATTTTAGTTGTTTAAACTAAATCTCTCTGTTCCAATTTATAATTAATTTTAAATTCCATCTCCCATGTCATTTGGTGTTTCTGTTCCTTACTACGAAGTACAATTCTGAAAGAAATTTACTTGTGATCACACAAGCAATGTATTAAACTCAATCATCTCCTTGCTGGGATCTATAATATAAAACATATTGAAGCTAACACATGTCTTAAACCACTCTTAGCTGCTTCTTTCCTAGTTTTCTATTTTGGAATTTTAGAGAAAAATAAAGCCAAATAACATAATTTTATATTTTTAGATGTGCATAAAGCTTACTATTTTGTGATTTTTTTGTTTCCATTCTTCATGTTAAATCATGCTGACTTGAAGAAATCATATTGTTTGGACAAAAAATGAATGTTATGTTTGTCTTAATACTATTTTTGGAGCAATAATATTATTCCCTAAAGCACCTAATTAAATTAATTAATTTGGCTTGAATGAAAAGTGAATGTTTTTTCCTTTTCTCTTCTTACTAAATCCTTATCTGGGAAAAGATGTTGTATAATCTGAAAATCTAAGAATCACAGATATGATATATAAATTATCATAATTATTTTCATTACTTTAGAAAGCTGAATATTTTGTACATGTGGGTATTTGGCATTCATATAGTTTCCAATTGAAATAATGTTTGGTTTGCCTTTTAAATGATATTGTTTGGAAAACATAAATTTTAATAAAATATTTTTTCTGCTGCTTATGTATTTATCAGAGTATCTTAAAATATGTTAGATTACTTAACAAAAAGGACTCTGAAGAAAGTATCTGTAGACATTCTAGGTGAATAATTTTAATTTAAAAGCACTGTTTTGCATAGAAAATAAGATTTTATTTATTCTTGCTACCTCCAGGAAAAAAAGTTGATAAATTATCATTTGTAGATATTTTCTTGTTTCATATTTTATAGATATATGCTTTTTCAATCTCCTTAGAAATGTCCTTTAAGTTGATTAATCTTTTAGAATTCAATTAATCTTTTAGAATTGTCTAAAAGATTAATCTTTTAGAATTGTCTAAAAGATTAATCTTTTAGAATTGTCTAAAAGATTAATCTTTTAGAATTGTCTAAAAGATTAATCTTTTAGAATTCAATCTCCTTAGAAATGTCCTTTAAGTTGATTAATATTTTATCCTGTTAAAAATAAAAATAATTAGATAATTAGAAAATTTTAAGTATCATATATCTAACCACCAGCAATTGCATATATAATAAAATCTTCTTAGTGTCAAATTATAAAAACATTGAAGAGAATATATTCTACTTGTCTTATTACATTTGGCAAACAACTTTAAATTGTATAGTCTTATAAATAAAATTTTACATTTCACCATCCTTATCACTAAGTTACTAAGTACTTTAATTTCTTCCTTAGAGTAATTTTATTTGCCAGCGTTAGTAAAACTAGTGCTATAGTACCTCCTATCTTGTAGGGACTGCTCTGAGTAGTTTGAATATCTATTTTGCTTCATACTCCCAAAGGCCTTATGAGCTTACAGCTGTCATAATCCTAATTTTACAGATGAGGAATCTTAACTGCAGAAACATTAAGTAATTTTCCCAAGGTTACACAGTCAGGGTGAAAAAGAAGATCTGAGTGTAAGAAGGCTTTCTCTAAATTTGATACTCTTAATTACTGCATTCTATTTTCTTTCTGCTATTTCAAAACTGAGTACGATTAAAGAAGCCAACTCCAAAGCTCTGTCCCATATGATTTTTTATCCCTGCAAGGTTAAAATCTGAATCTAGATAGGTATATTTTGAAGGACAACAGTTCTTTGCAAAATATTTTTCTATCTGGCCTCAAAACAGGAAGATGCCATCTGGAGTTAAATTCTCCTGTTTATTTTCTCTTGACCTTATGAAGAAGGGTTATATCTCTAAAGCTACCCTGATGACATCCAGACCACCAACAGAATAAATGTGTGACTCAGAAACCCTGCATACATTTTGCTATATACAAAAAAGTAGGGTTCTAACAACAATAGTACCAGACAGAAAAGACTTCTGCATCCAATGCAAAAATATGTTTAAGATGTCTCATTAACACACTGTTTTTCAGAAAATATAGTTACTAAATGATTCATGTTAATATACATCTAAGTTCATCAGAAGTTTTCACTGAATGAAACTGGAACGTTGTGAACATGCTATGCAACTCCAAAGAGTATTTCTGTGATTTTAATTTACTTGAGAAATGCAGTCTCTGTCATCCTCCACACAAAATACTATAGAAAAACAGTTTCAGAAAAATATATGCCATTTTACTGAAGCAGTACTTTCTTAATACTAGAATTCAAGGGAAGTTTAACTTTTAATAATTTCTGGATCTTTTCTCTTTGATGTTTACATCTTTTGGGCATTTTGACTCGTCCTCTTTCAACGTTTCATTTTGTTCATTAAGACTACATTTTAAACAGCAGTGCTTGACCTCAGTCATGGAAAAAAACAAGGGTTTTATTAGTTAATCTGAAAGGAATCCACTTCTGCTGTGTTTTCATTAGACACAGACTGAAACTCTGGTGGTTAATGTAACTCCCCCAACTGCAGTTCACAAATGATTTATGTAAGAATAGCTATCTCATTTTTTCCGTTGTCATCTTGACATGAAACAGGCAAAGTTTCCCCTTTGAAAAGTCTGGAGAGTTTTTTTTTACACTATATGATCTTTTTTTTTTTTTTTTTTTTGAGTGTGGAAACAATGGGATTGAGCTTTTATCTTAGGGAAAACTTTTACAAGAAACAGTTCACTGAGAGGGTTCCAGAAAGTTATTGTAGACCTGGAAACTTTACAACTGTTCCTCATGTCCAGCAAAAGCAATAACATCTTTCATCTTTAAAGCTTTAATTCTTTAAGCAATCTACTTTAATCACTTCAAGGCGGTGATATCATTAGATGTTACAAAATTAAAGAGCTGGGCTACATAATTTTTGGAACTCTGCACCAAAGAAGCCATTCACAATGGAAACTGTGGAGTTTCGGTAGATGGCACTCTTTTCTCTGAGTGACAACTCAAGGTCCAGCATGTGACCGTAGATGTAGAACAGGGGCTTTCCTGAGGAGCTGTCCTTTAGCCTCAACTATAATCCTGGTAAACTCACAGCCAATCATTCTTGATTTTTAAAAAGAAGCCTGTAGATAAGACATCAATCCAGGAATCTGAAGTAGTTAAGAGGCATTTAATCACAGTCTTTCCTTCTTTCCCAGAATTGTTCCAGTGGATTTGCTTTCTTTTCTTGTAATGCTGAAATGTTTAATTCCAGAATTTAATAAAAATACCTTTTTATATGTAGGCCTTTAGATCACTTAAAGAGTATTCAACATCAGATGATCTAAAGGCCTATACATAAATAGGTAGTTTTGAAAATCCAAATTTTTCAAGGCTCTGTTATTACCTGAGCATTTTTCTTTCCCTAGAAAAAAAGCTCAGGTAAGTAAATACAAGGTATCATGGATGAAAAACACAAAGTGTTATAATACTTTATTTACTCACACAGAACTGGTGATAATTTCTTTTAAAATGATAAGATCCTGAGCTTCTGGGGTTTAAAAAAATTAACGTACTACTCTCTATAAAATTGAATATTAAACAGAAAAATACCTATTCTTTTTTCACCTTTAGAAATGCATTATTAGTTCATGTACTTTCTAGGACGATATATAATTTTTTTAGTATCTCCTTTCAATGACAAATAGTTACAAAATTAAGAAAATTCAAATATCTGATTTTAATGTGTATTCTATAATTATCTAAGACTGAACAGAATATTGGTCCTAGCCTTGACTCCGTCATTTTCTAGTTTTGTAATCTCAAATAAAGCACTGATCCATGTTAGGTGACTGACACTGAGATATGTGAGCAACTATGCATTCTCTCCCTTTAAAAGTGCAATTGTTCCTAAATGTATGTAACCTTTTCCTGTTAGTTCAGTGTGTTTAATTGTAGGGACAAACACAAACCAGAAAACTTGAATGTTACCTGAGCAAGTTACAAATTCCCTCTTAAAGCATAATGAAAAAAATATACTCTCATGACGTCTAATAAGAAACTGATTCTCTGAGTCCATTTACAGTTTTAAAATTCTAAAACAACTAGAGGCCTACAGTTTATTTTACTGGAATTATCACTGTAGCAAAATATAGAAACTCAAACATTAGTACACATTTAATTAAAATAAAGTTTCTGTTTCTGCCCTAATGGAGCAGTATTACTTAGTAACAGCTGTCTATAATCTATCTAACAATTAAGCAGTGAATAAAATACTTATGTCAAATAAGGACTACATCAGAGACATGAAAAATGTATTTAAACAATAGTCATATGTAGAATTTTTAAGTGGCCGTAACATTTAAGCTAATTTCCAAAAAGACTCTGAATATTGTTACCATTGTGTTTTCGTGTCAGTATATGTGTTTGCAATATTTATCCGTAACATACTAATTTCCTTAGGAGAGCAGTGTTAACATTTAAAATTCACGCATATGAATTTTTTAAAGCTCATTATAAACTACCAAAGCCAGCTACATAACATTAATATTGGCATTCGTTATGTAAATGGTAACCTGGCTTGTCAGCCACTAGGTGACGCATCTTTGTACTTAAAACTTGGCATGTTTATAATCTACAGGAAATATAAAACAGACTATGTTTCTCCATTGGTGGATTAAAACACATGAATTAAATACAATGTTCACAAATTTGTAAGACGACCAAAATTCTTTTTGAGGACTTGTTTGTATCCAGAAAATGCCTGTGAGTGAACTAGAAGTGAGTGTTCATTAGAGCTGTGCCGTCTCTGAAGTTATGAGGGCATATATAAGAAACCCCACCCCAGAACTTTATGACAGCTCTCAGTGTGCTGTATATTCAGATACCTCCTGTAACTTTTCCAAAGCTTATCTAATAGCAGAATTTCCTTGTAAAACCCACAGGGAACATAAGATGTACTGTCTTAAGTCACTTCAACTTTACTTTTACTCATGACAAAAAAAATAGGCTGAACAGTTCTCTTTCAACTCTTTTTGAGCTTAAGAACACACAAACACATATCAGCAAAATTTTATACTTATTGATTATTTTTTGCATCTAAAGAGAAAGAGGGAAATAAACAGAACTTAATGTGATGTCAAGGTACTGTAAGTGGCAAACACCCCCCCACTAAAGTTGGATTGGGAAGAAAAATAGCCACAGTGCTTATAAAAAGCTTGCAACCACGAGGCAACTACAAATATGTTGCAATTTTTTGAGCTAAAACCCCTAAGTTTGTAGTCTTTTCAATAAATGGTTGGTGGGGGATAGTAGTCATTTGGTATCCTAAAAAAGGACTGTGAGTTGTAGCATCTCCTGGGAAGAGCAGGATAGGGAGGAAAAGGGGAGAGGAATGAGAAAGGAAGAAGGATTGAGAGTTCAGGGGAAAGAAAGGGTGAGGAGGCAAGGAGAGAGAGAACTAAAAAAAAGAAATGGAGGCATAAGGAGGCCACATGGGGAGTAGGGAGGGAGTAACAGGCAGGGAAGACAGAGGAGGAGAGAGGAGTAGATATGGGCTTGCCTAGGAAGGGGTGGGGTGATGAGTGAAGAGAAGTCTAAAGGAGCCAAAAGGGGTGGAGAGAGATAAGGAGGAGGGCAAAGCGAAGGAGAGGAGGGGTAAGGAGGAGAGGAAATTAAGGGAACAAGGAAAATGGGTGTTTCTTTTCTTTTGTGTCCATGGGCTGAATATAACTGAAGACATTTCATTGTATATCTACCCCTCCCCTCATACACACATTTACATGTATTAGCTATGAGGACAACAAATACATTTGATATTACAAACAAAAACCAAATTTTCATGCAGTGTCCTTTGCAAAATCTATATGTTTAAATGTAACCATGTTTAGTTATGTGCAATAAAAATTGTCTAATAATTTCTCCTAGCTATCTTTACATTTAGCACTTAAATATTTATTTCTATGGAAGTTTGTATTCCAATTTGTTCAGCATTTTCATGACTATGGTAAATAAAAGAATATTTTCACATAAATAATGAGACAAATGTGTTTTTAGGGGAAATTAGAATATGAAAAACATTACATGCAATTATTAGAAAATATAGCAAAACAGCTTTCTGAAGTCAAACAGTACTAGTATCTTTACCTTGTTTGCAGCAAAGTCAAACCTCCTGTTGAAACATTTTAAAAAATATTTTCTTCATTAATGCGAATGTGGTTAAAACGTAGAATATGTGGAAAATATTAGTCCCTTAATATCAAGCTACTAGAAAAGATGAATTAATCAATCATTCTTGAAACAAAATAAAAACAGGAATAATAAAATATTTTAGCAGTTTGATCCCTTTGAAGAATGTTTATAGGTATCTTGTAGCCATTTTACAGAAATATATTCAATGATTCTGATAATGCGTAGAATCTTCCTTTAGACTGTTCTTAATCCATGATATTTGAAAGGCATTCTTATTCAGAAAACAATGCTCAATATTCTAACCTTACAAAGAATCCAGCAGACAAAGAGGAACATAAAATTATTGCAAGAGACCAATAACTTCCAGACTGCCTGGGGAAGTATTCCAAGATGTTAACAATCCAGGAGGGAAAAATTTTAAAGCCATTTTTAAAAGTTTCCAGTGCCTTTAACATGAAAACAAGTTAGTACAAGAACATCTTATCTTAACCACAGAACTCTTAAAAACACACATAACGCGATTATTTTTCAAGTAATGTAAAAAGCACAGCCATGGTCAGTTCAACGTTTCACAATCTGGAGCTTATAGAGGAAATTATCTTGAATCAGGCAACTGATTTTCCCCTTTACACCCCTCTTTGTGAGGAGAAGAAAGACAAAAATCCCATAAAGTTTCTTGAAATCAGTACCTACTCACCTTCCTGTTGTGCCAAAATAATAGTGGGATGAAGCAGAGCGAGAAGTAGCCAGCTCCCCTTTTGCACAAAGCTCATCATGTCTAAATATCAGACATGAGACTCTTTGTGCAAAAAGGAGAAAAGAAAAGCAGTTCAAAGTAGCACCATCAAGTTGTTCCCTGCCCTTCAGCACCGGGCCCGTCATAAAACTCAGCCACTGAGATTCCTTTGCTTTGGCCTTAAATAGGAAAAAGTTTGGCTTCCCTCACTTTCCAGCCCCTTTCTGAAATATGAGAGCCGCACCCATCCCCTCAGCAGTAAAAGAAATGATAAATATTTCTTTTTCCCTTATAGAAGACACAACCCACAGTAAGAAAAAGAGCACATCTGGAGTTTGTATGCATCTGCTTATGTAAAAGTTTTTTTACATATTTCACTCTTACATATATGTTTGTATAACTTAGGAACGTATAGAAATGCTCTGCCTTGTTTTAATACATACAATGTAAATGCATACATTTTTATTTCCCCTTATGAAGTTAACAACTGCATAATTTTGAAAAACTGCTTGATGCCCATTTATCTAGTATGTCTAATTTACAGAACTGATCTTCCTAGAAGATTTTTATGTTGGGATTTTGCCAGAAGTAATCCTAACTCAATTTAAATAGGAGACTGTAAGAGACTCACGGAAAGAAATGCCACCGTATGCCCCTTCGACTCATCCACCCACCCTGGGTCCTAGAAGTTAAGTTTCAGGCAAATATCAAAAGACAAAGTATTTCAGCAATGTTTGAATGGCTTCCTAAAAGTTAGATACTTATCTATAGCTGTTTCCATTTCTCACAAATTTCTTTAGCAAGCCAGAGTGCTTTCTTGTGAGATTTCCAATTTTTATGCTGCCTGGGAAAGACAGAGCAGATTTTTCTAGAGAAAAATTCAGCCTTTTCATGACATAACTTTTTAGGAAACTGGAAGAGAAAGAGTTTATCACATAGAATAGCAAAAGAGTACCAGAGAAAGTGGTCATTTTTTCTGCATTACTCTAAAGATTAGTATAAATATTTCTAATTTAGACTTTTATGTGTATACTTTCCAGATCCTCATCCACAAAACTTTCCAATGTATTTCTGGATCTATCTAAGCAGTAATTTTTGTGTCATATTTGAAAGAGGGGCAAATACCATTTATAGGTCTTTGATAAATCTCTGCAGGAAAAATATGCTTGTCCACAGTATAAGGCTATATCTGGCAATGGAGATATCTCTTTACACCCTAATCATCAGTTCATAGTTAGTTCATCTATCTCTATAATCTACGGTGGACATTTCAATTCTAATCAAGGTCACTTGAACTAATTTTCTTCACCTTCACCTAAACATGTCCGTCTCTATGCCTGTGCACATAAAATTCTCCCCATTTCACACCAATTAATGGAAGTCACTTCCTTATGCCTCAATGCAAAACTTTCCTCCTTAAGTAAATTACCTCCTTTAAACTAATTTTCATCTTTCTCTTTCTTCTAATTTGTGTTACTAAATTTTCACTCAACTCATGTCATATGTATATTCCCAGGTGTACATGAATCCTGTAAGCATGGACAGTGGCAAACTTGCTTTCTTGTTTCTTGCATCTTTTTTTTTTTTTTTTTTGCGACGGGGTCGCCCTCTCTCGCCCAGGCTAGACTGCAGTGGCGCAATCTCGGCTCACGGCAAGCTCCGCCTCCCGGGTTCACGCCATTCTCCTGCCTCAGCCTCCCGAGTAGCTGGGACTACAGGCGCCCGCCACTACGCCTGGTTAATTTTTTGTATTTTTAGTAGAGACGGGGTTTCACCGTGTTAGTCAGGATGGTCTTGATGTCCTGACCTCGTGATCCGCCCGCCTCGGCCTCCCAAGCTTTCTTATATCTTCAGTCACAAGGACACAAACCAAGACATCTCAATGTAGATGACATCATTTGATGACAGGAAAGGAAAACTAGAACGAGACCAACCTCTTGTGTATCTTTATTTTAGATTGGAGAGTCACTGCTTGGGGGCGTGGGAGAAAAGTAACTGTTGAGAATGGTCATGAATATAAGCTTTTCTACTGGATCACAGTAGAGATGCTGGGGAAAGGCTGTTATATGCATCTTTCTGTCTTTCAGACATCTTTGTCCTGTACACAAAAAATATTTCCTGTGTTCAAACCAATTCAGAAACATAGTTTTTCTCATGATGTCTTTGTATCTACGTAGAATTCATATATCTATATTAGATTTCTCTCATTGTTTTAGGTGGTCTATAAAAGCTGAAATTTATTGAATTTCTTCATTAGATTTATTTTCCACTGTGAAAAATTAGAAATGTTATTTTTAAAATAATGCTTGTTATGCTTTATTTTAGGCATTATAAATAAAATTACTATTGTTCTAAAATTCTTAATTTGCTTAGCTATTCAAATAAAAGCCTTATACTCATGAGAAAAATTCATGATTGATGCACTCACTTAAGAAACATTAGCTGATGTTTTGCATATGGAAGGATTGTTGTATTTTAAGGTCTTCAGGAGAGACCTAGAGAATTCATTCTCCAGATATTCTGATTTACGATTCTTCACTACCTCGAATATGGAGGTTTTGCACTAGGATCCTTTGCATTCTGTGTCCCAGATCCTATTTTTCTACCTCCTGTCAAAGCATTTCCTAATACGGGGTCAAAGCATTTCTTAATACAGGGTCTGAACTAGGTGAAATGCATACACTTCTGAATCCTATTATGCCATCCAGGAACTGCTGTCCTCATTGTTATCTAGCCACACATTTCTTCCCATACTTCCCTGACTTCACTGATGTTAACCAGGACACATAAACATGTCATTTTGCTTTTTGGATTGCATTTGGAGCTTTAACACAAATCTAAATACCTGCACCAACTAAAGCACTGATTAATCTGGATCTCCTTTAACAAAGAGAGTGCCTGGAAAGATGAGGCAAAGCAAGGGTGTGGCAGATTATCAACCAAAAATTCAAATCTTTTCCAATTCAGTGGAAAGTGGAGCTTGAGAGAGATGCACAAGCACAGCTGTGATGAACTCAGTAGGCCAGTGAATGCCAGCAGCGCTTTCTACAACAGCACTAAGAAAATCAATTATCTCCACCATGGAAAACACATGGAACAGAAATGTTTCAATGTTTCTCTCTTTCCTCTCCCCTCCCCTTTGTTGTGCGGCTTTATGTGTGATTTTCTTTTTGAAGCCAGCAAGATGCTTTATTTTTAGGGACATTTTCTAGATTTCAAATCACTGTAAAGCCATTTAAAAACTACTTGTGATAATAGAACTACCAATACAACTGTAAAATACAATGCAGGTCTTCTTTATTATTCCCAGAGAGGTTGATCAGTTCACTCAGTTGATAAAGGTAAAACCACATTTGAAGAGTTGTGTTTCCTTTAAAAGAATTTGAACAAATACTAGTATGTGCATAGTAGAGCCAAAAATATGGTTGAAAAAGTCATGTTGTACTTGCAGGACTTAAACATATTTAACCATAGATATGTCCAGGATTGAGGCAAATTACACTGGCAGTGGGACATGATAGTCCAGTTTTTGAGTGATTATATGACCAAGTCTTCAAGACCCTTTTCTTTAATTTCCCCTTAGTCCCCAAGGTAGAGTTCATTGACCCCTTGTTTTTTTCTTATAGAACCATTTTAATAACCATTTCTTTTTAGCCTGGAAATTTCACTTTTGTACAAGATTTATATTTTCTTGACATTTAGTAAAATAAAGTTTTAGTAAAATTTAGTTAGGAAACACGAAGTATCTCAATTCCTATCTATTCTTTGTTATTAAACTTAAGGCTCTAAATTTTTATCTTTGTATTTTGCAACTGAAAAGTATCCCAAGAATGAACAGAAAGTTTAAAGAGGTTACATGACTCTCAAAATTACTCATTGGAATTGTAAATAACTAAAAATTTTCACTTTTGTACAAAATCCATATTTTCTTGACATTTAGTAAAGTAAAGTTCCAGTAAAATTTAGTTAGAAAAAACTGAGTATCTTGATTCCTACCTATTCTTTGCTATTAAAGCTAAGGCTCTGAATTTTTGTCTTTGTGTTTTGCAGCTGGGAAGTATCCCAAGATTGAACAGAAAGTTCAAAGAGGTTCCATGACCCTCAAAATAATTCATTGCAACTGGAACTGACTAGCACACTTTACAAATATTTTCACCATGCTTTCCACTAATCACTGATTGTGGTAAAGATATTTTTACGCAATTTAGAAGTGTGGTAAATACAAATCTGACACTTAATTTTGTATGTTTTCTAATGAGGCATTGTGAAAGGATGAAAAAAATGATAATGTTATGGAGTTAATGGCCAATTTACAAAAATTACCATTCTGATTTTTGTCTTGTCATTAATCTTTGAGTAATTTTCAGTATTGTATTTAAGTAAAAGTCCACTACTTTACACTTAATGAAGTACAATCTTAGGGCATGCAAAAGAGTTCACATATGTGTTTTTGTGTGTTTGCGTGTGTATATGTTTATATACCCCCCACATATATATGTATAATTAAATACGTATGTATATACTTTTAAAAGCTGACAAAAATTCAAGCAAGTAAAAATTTCTAGGAAACTTCCTTAATATACATGTAAGATAACTTGTATTTGTTATATCAATGTTGCTTCACATAAGTAGATAAGTAGCTATGAGTTTTTGCTTATGTAGACATAAACATGTCACCTGAAATCTTATTTAACATAACAGACTATTAATCATTGAAAGGGAAACTACTGGTAAGCCTCTACTTGAATTGTGAAACTTTCTGAAGTATTGTAAGCATGTTCTCTTGAACGAAGTTCTGATATACTTATATTTTAATTATAGCTTTATTTACTATCATAATTATTATTGTAATTATATTTGAAAATTCATAGGAAATTGAAATTCATCTCCTTACCTAATCTCATTCCTGAATAGTGTGATTACTTTATAAATTTACCACAGGGGTGACACAGAAACTGGGATGCCACATCGTGAAGCAGCTCAGGCGTTCCCTGTTGAGTCTTCAGTTAACTTAATCATTCTCAGGGTTGAAGCTCCACTCTGCAAATCCCACTAGACTCTCTATCAAATATAATTTGTCATCTGAGTCATCCTTAGGAATTTTCAGCAATATCCAACACAGCTGTAACAGCTCTTCAGATGTAGCCAATTCTGTGTAAAGATAAAAGGAAGGCCCAAATCACGATCTTCTGATAGATACATGAAATAGGTCAAAGCCAAACAGGGAATCTACATGCTTCAAATGGAGACTGATTTTTAATTCCTATCAATATCTTTTCTATTCAGATACACAATGGGGGCTCAGATTTAGGATCTTTGATTCCAAATAATTCTTAAGTACACAAAAATTGAAAGCCTCCTCATCAGGCTCCCTTGCCTAAAATAAACAGACATAAACAGACCTTTCTGTGTTTAACTTGCCATGACTATTAAATTGTCTACTAAATTGTCTAAAGCCTTCATTTTTGTCTGTACATTAAATCATGTTTAAAGAACTCTACATTTAGGTATGTTCTTGGTATATGTTCTTGGAGGAAGGAGGCCACAGCAAATAGTCTCCTTTCGTTCCCAAGGATTCAAGTGTTGCCCTCTGGAGTCTTGGCTTTCTTGTGGCAATGTCCGTTTTAGAAGCATTGTTTTGTATTTCTTTATGTACTTATTTTACTCCTCTTTGTAACCTTTTTTGTTTCCTACCCTCACCCACTTTTAAAAATCATGAACAGTAGTAAACACAGTCCCTTGTACATAATGAATACTGATCAATGTAACGAAGACTGACTGAATTAGGATGGCATTAAATAGTATTTAAAATATTACGTGTTTAATAATATAAGCATTTCTTAAAAAAATCAATATAGGACCCAGACCATGGATCAGTTTCTGCTCTTCACCTCTTTATTTTATAGATATCAGATATATTTCATAAAGTGATTAAGGTGAAACATATGACTCATGAAAATAAACTAGTCCAAGTAGAAAGTCTTCACATAAAAATTATGCCATATTGATTATTCAAAGTGCTAACCTTTGGATAATAATACTAAATAGATTAATATAATTTGATTTCTATTATTTCATGTCCAGCCACTCTCTCTATTTCTCAACCCAAACCCAGCAGGATACAAAACACTATTTTAGATAATTCTTGATATGCAATTCATCTTGATCCAAGAACTATCTTCTTAGTAAATCAAATGGCTCTTTTTTTTTTTTTTTTCCAATACCTACTCTACATTTCTGGGTTTCTATACCTTTGCATATACTGTCTTTCTGTCTAAAATGATTGTTCCTCATTCTGTATGTTCAAATCCTATTTTGAAGATTCTACCCAAAGATCAACTAATCTACAAAATCTTTCTGATCCTCCCTGTTAAAATCATTTTGCTCTTCTTCTAATTTACCTTACCTTTCCTATGCCTCTTAGTTTATTTTAATTTACATCTTTTTATGTCGTTTACTAGGCTGAAAGCTACTCCAGGGAAAAACTAAGGTTTATCTTTCATTTTATACTCCATCGTAGCTATTACATGGCCTTGTGCATAGTAGGAAATTAATAAGAATCAAATGGCGAATGATTTAAAATATGAAACACTTAATCCAGAAAAACACATTTGAAGTAATCTATTTCCTTTGTATCCTTTAGAACTCATGGTAATTTTCAATAAGTTAATTATTTCCAGTATTTCCATCACTCTTAAAAAAGAAGGTCACTCTTTCCAGCATAGGAAGTCTTTGGATTTATAATCGATTTAAAAAACTTCCAGATGTTATGAATTTATTTATAAAATAGAAAAAATAAACAATAGAACTAGTTAGGAAATAAATTGAAAGCAGTCAAACTCTGTGTTCACCACAAGTATTACAAGTCAGAGACCATTAGAAAAATTTATAAAATAGAAAGAAATACAGGTAATTTACCAAGGATCATGAAAGAGAATGACAGAAAAGCCAAAAGTTAATTTCAAAATGAATTGAAATAATTGAACTAGAAATGCATCATAATTTTAATTTATTTTTATTTTAGGGTAAAAAGAAAAAAAATGACATATAAATAAGCATCATGAAATTAAAATGCTTCAAAGAGGAATTATCACACTTTTTGTTTAAATTGTTTTCATTTTTCTTGACTCAATTTCCTTACAGTGAAATTTTTAAAAGGAAAAAACTGTGCAAAATGTCAAATAAAAAAAGAAAAAATACAAATCAAAATACTGAAAATTCCTTACCTTCCCACAAATACAGACACCCCACATGTAATGTAAGACAAATGTCTAAAGCTTTATATTTTATTGCTTGATTTATTAGCTTCAATTCCCATGAGAATTGTGGGAACTTCAATCTGTTTAGTTGAGCATGCTAAGGAGACATACAAGGCAGGTAATAGTATTCTAGAGTGGTCCCTTTATGTGTAGAAATTGTAATCTATTTTTTGGTTGTTCAGGGCAAGGTTAGCTGCAAAGTGGACAACCACATTGACCTAGATTCAGCATCAGGGGTGTGTCGCCATGGATTGTATCCTGGTGCCCAGCTAAAACAGTCACTTCTAAAATTTTAGTTAGGGTGTGGCTGGCGGTGTTAGATCAACAGCTGAAGGCTAGCTGTTGGAGGTAATGTGTGATCAAACTGGGTAGGATTGTGTGAGATTTCCCTGACCCTTCCCATTTCCTAACTTGAAGTTGTGCAAGTGACATACTTTTTATGGAGAGGAAGGGGAGAAAAAAAGTACATTCGCTGGTTATTTGTTATGATGACTAACTAGAAAGAAATAAGTAGCTAAAATAAGGCTCTTGAATTATTTTATGATACCAATATTTCCCATTCAAAATATGATCGAGAACTGTTTGATCTTTTGTTATCACATAGATTTAGAGGTGAAAAAAGATACATCTTGGAAGATTTCATCGAAATTAACATCAAGCTGAAGAAGATAATTTTATAGCTGCACTTTTTGCTATAGCAAACACCAGGGCAAAATATGGCCAGACAGTCAACTGGGACAGCATGACACATCACTGGAAAAAATGATTGTTGAGTACAAAATTACGAGAAAAGTAAAATCATTGTTGAAGCCACGTTAGCATACTCTGCTCAAATTATATCTGATTCTCTAGACACGTCTTTTGGAAGATTCCCCAAAACAAAAGCAGAGGAATTACATAAATGGTTTTACAGGCCAACCTTTCTGATTTAGTGTGCTGTAAGTTGCTTACAATGTTTCTCCAAGTAGGGGATCCAGGAAAATTCCTAGGGGTTGTGGATTTTGGAATTTCACCAAGTCCTTAATGATTGCAGCCCACTAGTTAGCAAAATCCTTCCTAGCTGTTATTAAGAAGAAAGTATGACAAGGCAACCAGAGGAAACAACAGCAGCAGTGATAGCCAGTCAACATCTCCAGTGCCTATATGTACCCATCACGGTGTGTGTCAGCTTTCTTCACTGTTATTCCCACCACTACATTGCTGTAGTTAACTTTTCTTCTGCTTCACTAGAAATAAGGATAATGCTTCTCATTTCTTCTTCTCAAAAGTTTAGAATTTAGGGACAATGGGCACCAAAATTTTGGGTAAAGATATTTTACAATATTAAAGAAGAATACCTAAATATGGATCATATTGAATGGCTGCATTCCAAAAGTGCTTCATTTATGTTCTGATAGTTATAATAATTTGCTCATAATTATTACTTTATGTTTTCTGCAAGACTGGAAGCTCCTCGGGGAAAGAGTTGCGTCTGTTTTGGTGGTCACTGTTTCTTTAGCACCTAGCAAGCAGTCCAAAAGGGCAGACATTTGGTAAGGACCTGTTGACTGATGAGATGCTGAGATTCTAGTCAAATATGGATGATTCAAAGTTTTCTGGCAATATCATTATTTGTCCAATCTATTTTATATAATTTAAGTTTAAATTAACCCCCCCCCCCAATTTTCAACCTTGAGTTGTGGTTTTATAAGAAAATTATCATTTTATAATAAAAGTATCCATGTGTGAAATCTTAGGACATTTTTCTTCATTTTTTTTTAACTTCCAAATTAAAATCCCTGCCAAGTGAAAGAAACACAAGGAAACTCAAATAATTTGCCAGAGTCAAGTTTATTAACATTTTCCCAAAGCCTATCTTATTTGAACTGTTTATTTTGGATCCCTATCCAAGAGATAATTTTTTTTCCCAAAAGCTTATAAGAAAAAGCTTGGCTTGCAAATGTTAGTTTGCATAGATAAAGGCAAAAAATGGGGTTGAGTGAAGAAGAGGAAGAGAGTCTTTCACAATTAAAGTAGTCTCAGAAATGGTTTTTGACTGTGCGATTTAAGTAGTTAGCCCTAAAAAGTGTCATGCAGAGAGCTTCAATCATCTCAAAATAAAATCTGAGAAATATTAAATATCTAATGTCTGATGCAGTTCCTGGCATGTTAGTTGCTCAGCAAATGTGTATCTAATGGTGAATTATGAAATGGGCTACATATGTTGATTTTCTTAGTATAAAAAAGTTGTTATGAAAAAATAATTGTAGTTTTTTTATAATTAAAACAATAAAGCATTTCTGAATAATCATAGCTATACACACACATGTACACATATATAAACTTAGAATAGGGCTCGTGCATACTAGGTACTATACACTCACACACAAACACACTCACATACACACACAGAAAGTACCCTCATCACATTCTTATGAATGTGTACTACTTTCATATGTTTTTTTTAAATGAGTAAACTGATTTGTCTAAGATTACACACTTGGTAAATGCCAGAGCCAAGATGCTAATCCAGGAAGTCTGGTTCTGGAATCCATTCTTTTAATCCCAATATATTGTGTGAATTTAATACCCCTATGCTTTTAAATATGTCAAAACTATATATTCAAATAAGTGGTTTCCTCTTTGATGGAATAATTTTGAGTAACTACATTTTGTTCAATTTTTTCTCAATTACTTATTTGTTCAAAACATATTATTGTCGTGTTCCTATAGGTGGAATCATTGAGGGTAGGCTTAATTGTTTTTAAATGCCAAAAACAATTTGTTGCAAGTTGTGGTTTGACATTGCATCAAAAAATATGAATACATAGTAATGATTCTGATTTTTTGAATGTCTCATAAAATGATCCTAAAGGAAATTCCATAGAGTAGTTCCAAAAGTGTTTTTGAAAAATATGTGAGGATCCAGTCAAACATACATTCTTTCTGTTGTGATTACAAAAATAAAAGTAAATAATAGAAAAGAGAAAAACTCAGTACTCTATGACATTTAAAAGTCAATGGAAAGCTCCTTTAAATTTATCGTTTTGAATTGAGATGGTGTGACCGTACGATGGAATACAAAAGATCTGAATGAGTAGACTCACGTTCTTCTACTAAACTAGATTTTTTCATCCTATTTTTATTTTTCTTAAAATCTGTTAGGATAATCCAAGTTTTACTGTAGTCAGTATTAAGCTTAGATTAGTCGAGTAAAGCCAGAAAGTGACAAATCAGGCTTTCCCTCCCCTCAGAGCCCGTCCACGTTGTAAACTGTAAAAATGATCCCACCCTGACAGTGCACAAATGAACACAGTTTCCAACAAAACTTACTTATGTGGCAGGGAGCTGTCCTGAAATGACATACTTAGGCAAGTATTTCCAAAAGGATCATAGGTTTTTCTTTACAACACTGTCCCAGACTTTCCAACATTTCTCAACTTAGACATCTCTTTATCACTTTTTCAAGCTTGATAAATTCCCCAGTTTCTTCAAAGAAAATTTTTTGCTCCAAATAACATTTTAATTGTTATATATACATATAGTTATGTGTATGTACGTATATATGTATATATAATTTATGCAGTGCCAAAAAGGAGTTGAAGAACGTGAAAGACAGTTAAACTGAGGAACATTGTACATTATCAACAGTTAAATAAATAAAGACAGCTAATCAAATTCCAATTTTTATAGTATTTAAGTTTTAGTCATTAATGATTTGATAGATGTGTCATTTACTCTCACTTTATAGATTTGGGTTTTCAAGGGTATTATCCACTTTGTACATACTGCCTCCAAATTACTTTCCAACCATTTAAGTAAGTGCCTCCATGCAGACAGTGGTATAATTTACAGCTCAAACAATTTTCCTTCAATTAGTTAAGTATGCTATTCAAATACATACTGTATGCAAAGCACCATACTGAGTTTGTCAGGATAGAAACAGAAAAGCAATGCATAAGCCCTAGCCTTAAATCCATTATAATCTAGTTAATATTAAACAGATTATTTGGCTACTCGGTATAAATTCTCTCACTTATAAAGTGGTAAATTTAAACATGATGTAACACTTATTTGTGTAAAGAAGAGTGAATGTACTTAAAATGATAGGGCATAAATTGCAAAGTTACTACCATATGCTTGGACAATTCTGCATGTTTGAGACTAAGCAGAGATGCTCAAGGTACTTCCTGATACTGCAGGGTTCATGTTAGTGAATTTGGGCAAAGCTCATATTATCCCTTGCCAGGTAAGTTAAGACCTCTTGGTGAAATGATATTGAAGAAAGATGTATAAAATTATTTTACTAATATTTCTGTAGAATTATGATTAGTAGACATAGCAAAAATTCAAATCAAGTTTGTAGGTAAGACAAGGTGACACGTTGCATGATAGCCTTAAGATTAAAAGAAAAAAACTTTTTGTTGTTCTATTAGACTAATAAAGTTGTACAAGAGATAAATGCAAAATCGTTGGTAGAAAAGTTGATTGCACAAGAATATGGTGAAGAGAAATATGGCTGCACAGTATTAGTTGATATAAAAAAATTAGATGGGTTTCAGATCAGTTTTTCTATGAGATAAAGTAAGAAATAGGATAGATAAAGGCACTGTAAAAGGTAGACTAGTTTTTCTTTTTTATGTACAGATCATAATCCTAGTACCCTTAAAATATTCAAAGTTAGAGCAAGCACATCTACAAAAGCCTGAATATACCCTATCCCACAGTTCTGTCGATAACGTTTACCAGTAAAAGTGGAATGTTATATACTACACAAGGAAGACAGGCAATTTTGTAATGCATGTGAGGAAGGCTTTATCTAAATGGATATTTTGGCAGTAATACAGGTAACCTTTATTTTAAGGTAAAGGATACCTTTCCTTTTCTCTTCCCTTGCCTTCCCTTTCCTTGCCTCCCTTCCCCTCCTCTCCTCTCCCTTTCCTCCCTCCCTCCCTTCCTTCCTTCCCTCCTTCCTTCTTGCCTGCCTGCTTGCCTATTTGCCTGCCTGCCTTCCATTCCTCCTTCTCCTTGTCCTTCTTCTATTCCTTCTTTATTATCCTATGATATTTTTTCTTTTTTAAAATTTATTTTATATTTCAATAGGTTTTGGGGGAACAGGTGGTGTTTGATTACATGAATAAGTTGTTTAGTGGTGATTTCTGAGATTTTAGTGCACCCATCACCCAAGCAGTGCAAACTGTACTCAATGTTGTAGTCTTTTATCCCTCATCCCACTCCCACCATTTCCCCCTAGTCCCCAAAGTCCATTGTATCATTCTTATGCCTTTGCGTCCTCATAGCTTAGCTCCCAATTATGAGTGAGAACACACGATGTTTGGTTTTCCATTCCCGAGTTACTTCATTTAAAAAATAGTCTCCAATTCCACCTAGGTTGCTACAAATGCCATTATTCCATTCCTTTTTATGGCTGAGTAGTATTCCACGGTATATACATAATACACTTTCTTTATCCACTCATTGATTGATGGGCATTTGGGCTTGTTCTATATTTTTGTAATTGCAAATTGTGCTGCCATAAACGTGTGTGCAAGTATCTTTTTGGTATAATGACTTCTTTTCCTCTGGATAGATACTACATAGTGGGAATGCTGGATCAAATGGTAGATCTACTTTTAGCTTTTTAAGGAATCTCCACACTGGTTCCCATAGTGGTTGTACTAGTTTACATTCCCACCAACAATGTAAAAGTGTTCCCTTTTCAACGCATCCATGCCTATGTCTGTTATTTTTTGGTTTTTTGATTATGGCCATTCTTGTAGGAGTGAGGTGGTATTGCATTGTGGTTTTGATTTGCATTTTCCTGATAATTAATGTTGTTGAGCATTTTTCCATATGCTTGTTGGCCATTTGTATATCTTCTTTTGAGAATTGTCTATTCATGTCCTTAGCCCACTTTTTGATGGGATTGCTTGTTTTTTTTCTTGCTGATTTATTTGAGTTATTTGTAGATTCTGGATATTAGTCCTTGGTCAGATGTACAGATTATGAAGATTTTCTCCCATTCTGTGGGTTGTCTGTTAACTCTGCTGATTATTTCTTTTCCTTTGCATAATCTTTTTAGCTTAATTAAGTCCCATTTTTAATTTTTGTTTTTGTTGCATTTGCTTTTGGGTTCTTTGTCATGAAGTCTTTGCCTAAGACACTATTTCACAGGAAAAGAAAAGAAGGAACCCCCCCTAAATCATTCTATGAAGCCGGTATAACCCTAATACCAAAACCAGAGAAGAACATAACAAAAAAAGAAAACTTCAGACTAATATCCCTGATGTACATAGATGCAAAAATCCTCAACAAATTACTAGCTAACCAAATCCAACAGCATATCAAAAAGATAATCCACCATGATCAAGTGGTTTTCATACCAGGGATGCAGGGATGGTTTAACATTTGCAAGTCAATAAATGTGGTACACCACATAAACAGAAATAAAAAACAAAAATCAGCTGATCATCTCAGTAGATGCAGAAAAAGTATTTGACAAAATCCAGCATCACTTGATGATTAAAACCCTCAGCAAAATTGACAGAGAAGCGACATAAGTTAAGGTAATAAAAGCCATCTATGACAAACCCACAGCCAACATTATACTGAATGGGGGAAAAGTTGAAAGCATTCCCCCTGGGAGCTGGAACAAGACAAGGATGCCAACCTTCACCATTTCTATTCAACATAGTACTGGAAGTTCTAGCCAGAGCAATCAGACAAGACAAAGAAACCAAGGGCATCCAAATTGGTAAAGAGGAAGTCAAATTATCACTGTTTGCTGATGATATGATTCTAAACCTAGAAAACCCTAAAACTGATCCAAAAAGCTCCTAGAACTGGTAAATGAATTCAGCAAAATCTCAGGATACAAAATTAATGAATGCAAATCAGTAGCTCTGTTATACACCAACAGCAACCAAGCTAAAAATCAAATAAAGAACTCAATCCCTTTTACAATAGCTGCAAAAAATAAAATAAAATAAAATAAAATACTTAGGAATATACCTAACCAAGGAGGTGAAAGAGCTCTACAAGGAAAACTACAAAACACTGATGAAAGAAATCATAGATGACACAAACAAATGAAAACACAACCCATGCTCATGGATGGGTAAAATCAATATTGTGAAAATGACCATACCACCAAAGCAATCTACAAGTTCAATGCAATTCCCATCAAAATACCACCATCATTATAGAGAACTAGAAAAAACAATCCTAAAATTCATGTTGAACCAAAAAACAGCCCATATAGTCAAAGCAAGACTAAGCAAAAAGAACAAATCTGAAGGCATCACATTACCTGACTTCAAACTATACTATAAGGCCATAGTCACCAAAACAGCGTGGTACTCATAAAAATTGGGACATAGACCAATGGAACAGAATAGAGAACCCAGAAATGAAGCCAAATATTTTCAGTCAATGATCTTCAACAAAGCAAACAAAACCCTGAAGTAGGGAAAGGGCACCCTATTCAACACATGGTGCTGGGATAATTGGAAAGCCACATGTAGAAGAATGAAACTGGATTCTCATCTCTAATCTTATACAAAAATGAGCTCAAGATGGATCAAAGACTTAAATCTAAGACCTGAAACCATATTCTATTATTTTAATTACCAACGTATCCTTACTTATATATTGGGCGTATCCTTACTTATTTATTGGGCAAATCGTTGCCTAGGGCTTTTGCACTTGCTGATTCTGCCACCTGGATCACTCCTTCCCAATGGCTTCATGGTTTGCTTGCTCATCTTCTTCAGGTCTTTGCTTAAATATAACCCTAGGGAGTACTCTTTTCTTTCATTTAAAATGGCATATTCTTATCAGCACTCTTCCTTCTCTATCCTGCTTTATTTTTCTTCTCACTACTTATGATTCTTTGATATACTATCTATTTAACCTCTTTTTATGTTATTCTCTCTCCAACTGGCTTAAAAGAACTTATAAACATTGTTTGCTTTGTTCTCTTTTGCAGCACCAGTAGCTAGTTTCAGTCCCCAATATGGGACATGGTAGGTCATAAACAAATATTTTTAAAATAAATGAATCACAAAATAAACTCAAACATTGACTTCACTTCTGATTTCTTTTCCAATTGTTAAGCCATATATCCAACTGTTTACTAAATACATCCACTTGAATGTCTCATGGGCAACTTAAATTCCATGTTATAAACGTATTCGTTGTTTCAAATCTACGCACATCACTACCCCAGAGATCGTCACTATAGTCTACCTTCTGTCTAGATTTATGAAACATCTTCCAAGTTTCTAGCCCTGTTTCCAGTTTTTAAAAAATATTTATTCTCTTTACTTTCTTGAGAAATTGTTCTAAAATCCAAGTCTCATCCTTCTACTCTCCAATTCATAAATTGTCAATGGCATTTCACCACCCATAGGATAAAAATTTACACCTTAAGGATTACCTAATTCTTCCTCATCTCACTTTGTTGTCTCAGATTTCAACATGCTAGTCTTCATTCTGACCATGCTGAACGAGTTTAAGTTCCTCAAAACTGATCACCTTCTTTCTTAACCTCCAGATAATCAAATATATTCTACTTGACACTCTTCCCACAACCCACTTTATCAGACTATCTCCTATCCATTTTTCATTGTCAGATAGCCATAGTGTGGGAAGTTTTCTCTGAA
Source organism: Homo sapiens (assembly GCF_000001405.40). Classification (NCBI taxonomy): domain Eukaryota; kingdom Metazoa; phylum Chordata; class Mammalia; order Primates; family Hominidae; genus Homo; species Homo sapiens. The sequence continues at coordinate 188,958,628 of NC_000002.12, read as the reverse complement.
GTGTAGAAAAGTCAGTTGTTTCTCATATGCACCTACACTTTCTCAAAACAGTCATCATGCTATTTAAATTGATGATTTCTCTGTTAATTTTAATAGAGTCTAAGAATCAAGCAGATAGTCATCTTGTTTGTTTCACTCACACCTAGATCCCTAAAGGTCAGCATAGCCCCTAGCTTCTAGTATGTGCTTGATATTTGTTGAAAGTAAAAGCGAGAAAGAGTAAGAATGAATGGAAGGGAGGATGTGGAATTAGATTTTATTGTTTTAAAAGAAGATCAGCTTAGATTACCCATGGAAATAAACTTTCTTAAAGTTTTTCATTGGATAATAAAATCATGTCTAAAATGCAGCAAAGAGTATTTCAACAGTTATGTTTAAGTCATTCTCTTGTTTAAATAACCCAATATTCTCCATAGCCCATAACAGGTGCTAAATAAATATCTGAAAATTAACACACAAGACAGATAGCTAGAGGTAAACTTTGTGAGTATGCGTAGATTGTTTGTTCAATACATTTACTGTATTTTAGCAAGAGCATTCAAAATGTCCTCCAGGTCAGGACATGGTCCAGCCAGCCTTGTATTCACCAAGAGACTGACAGTGACATCACAGGTAGAAATGGATGTATTGATTCTCAAAGGCTGTCTCAATATGTGTTTGTCTCTTGCAACTGCAATATGTCTCTTGCTATTTTAATCAAGTAATTCTAAACTATTTTTATCTTAATTATCTTATTATCAGAATTACTATTAAATTGCTTACATCTTCAGGCAGCATCAACTATTGGGCAATCAAGTTATTAGTCACTGTGTTAAATAAGTGTTCTCAGTTGTTCTAAAACTACCTATTCAAAGCTTTCTGAGGTGCCCAAAACTTCAAATATTTTTGGACTTCCCAAACAACTCCAAACCACCAAAGGCTTAGCGTCTCTTCTTGTTTTCCTTAACTTTGCTCAAATTTCTTATCTGCTTTTGCCTTTCAAGGAAACAGAGGCAAATATTTCCAAACAGTCTGCATGGACCTGGAAGCCCTGTGTGGACCTGACATCTCCATTTATAAAGACAGTAACATTAAATAGGTAAAATAGATAGTATATCAAAGGGTCGTAACTGGTGAGAAGAAAAATAAAGCAGGAAAGAGAAGGTAAAGGGCTGGTAAGAATACGCTATTTTAAATGGAACAAAAATCACCCATTAGAGTGATACAGATAGAGTGGGGTAGACTCTCAAGGATGTATAGACCAATAAGAAGCTTTTTGTTTGTGCACTTTTCTCAAAACCAAAACACCAATTTGAAAAAAAAAGTTGGAAACGTGGGTGAAGAAAGAGGGAGGAACCAGTTTGAGCCTGAGAAACTGCCGCCAAGACCTGTGTATTATTTTTCCTTGTCAAAACGTTATTGCCATCTTTCAGAACTCTGCTAAGAATTTGGAATTCAACTCTTTACTGAGTCTGCCACGTGTTACAATTCTCCTCAGACTATGAGTTAATACAGAAGGATAACAGACCATCTGGTATTATTAGAGAACTGAACTTGATCTTCATGCTTAAGACAAATCACTGATGAGAATCTCTCATATGTTAGTAAATAGAACTTTCTCTTTCATACCACATTAACAAAATTATATACGCACTGAAAAAGCAAAACAACAACAACAATTTAAAAATAGAGCTTACACAGGAACTTTTTGTTTTTTTATTTTTATTGTGCCTGGAATTTTTTTATTTCCCACAGTCAAAATATCTTAATCACATTTTAATGTAATACTTTTCTTATAGTTCTGCTTAGATATTTATGACTAAGACAACTATTTTCTAACTAAATGAAAGGGTAATATGTGGGAAGGAGAATTAAGTTATGAAATGCTAAGAAAATGAAATTTAATCAAATTTTATTATTTAAATCCAAGTGTCTGATATGGTTACTTATTGTTTTTCTGCTTTATCCTCAATTACCAAAATGATTTGATAGTATGTTGGATTCACCTCAAAACTTTCAATTTATTGCAATGTAATTTCTAGAATTAAGATGCGACTAACAAAACTTGATATATGAAAGTGAGATATTAGAAGTAAGGGGAAAGAATGTGTAATTAACATATAACATAACTTGGAGGAGGAATTGAGTCAGAATTGAATTTTCATATAGAAAAAGTATTGAACAAGTTTGTGATGTATGAGCCAGAAGTGCTGACTGGGTTAGGAGTGCAATAGAGGAAAGGAAGAAGAGATTTGGGAAACATGTATTAGGTGCTCCTATTTTATTTTATACCCGTAATTTGAATATTATTATTGAATTTCTATGAATTCTTCAGGTAATAAATAATCTAGTATAATAAGTACACTCTCTAGCAAAACTCAAGTGAGGAATATGAACGAAAAAACCTATTAGCTAAGTACAGGTTTTTTTCTTATATTTGACCACATTCATACCATTAGGAAGAATAGGCATGCATTGTATTTACTGTAACCTACATAAACTACTTGTTTTTCTCAACACATAACCTTTTATTTATATATCCCATGAAAGATATATACTGTTGCAGAGCAGAAGCAATGGTTTATAAACAAAAAAGATGGCAGCGCACTCTTTTCTTTCTTTTTCTCTCTTTCTTCTTCCTTTCTTTCCCTTTTTCTTTCTCTTTCTTCTTTCTTTCTCCTTCCCCTCCCCTTCCTTCCTTTCCCTTTCTTTCTCTTTCTTTCCTTTCTGTTTTTTTCTTTCTCTCTCTCTTGCTGTCTCTCTCTCTTGCTCTCTCTTTCTCTCTTTCCTTATCTCTCTCTTTCTTTCTGTGTTATGCGATATGATTACTGAGAGAAAATAAGAAAAGCACATGTTTCTTGAACTTTAATCCACAGATAAATTATCAGAAGTCAATGAGTTCTCTATGACACTTTTATATTTTTGTGTCTTTATTTTGATGATGCACAACCATGCATACATATATTTATACTTCAGAAATACATACCAGTCTTTTATCACCAAGTAGTGACAAACAGTAACAAAATTCAAATGCTGTCATGGCTTGCTATATGAAATTTCACTGTAGTTCAAAAAGACTAGTGGTAGAACAACTTGAGGTGAGAATAAGGTGGGAGTCATAAGGGGAGAGAATGACATTTTCTTCAGTATACCCTTTGTATAATTGTGGCATTTGAAACTGTGTAAGTCTACATTTATTTTAGAAATAAATTAATAGAAGTGTGAAAGGGGAAATATAACTAAAAAACTGAAAGAACACTGAAACAAATGGATCTAATTGCATTTCAGTTGAATATCATAACCACGAGGAAGGGAAATAAATTAAATGACAAACTAATCAAAGTAACTCATGAATATGGTATTTAAATATATATCCTCATTCAAGAAGAGATAGCAATAGCAACGAACTCACTTGATGCCCTTGTTTTGTTCTCTGTTACTTCTCTTCATTAAAATGAACCAGGACACCTTGAAGACAGACACCTAATAGCAGGGCTGAGGTATGGTAGGTTCAAGATGATTGTGGCCCTTCTTGTTAGGCTTGAAAGTAAGGAAGTATAAAAAAAAAATGGACGTGTATCATAAGGATACAGGTACCAGGCTGAAGGGGCTCTGATTGGCCAAATCTAGGAGAATTTGAGCACCAAAATAATTACATACCTTAATTAATTATAATCTTCTGAACAAATGGTAATTTATAAATAGAGAAATAAATAAATGGAGAAAAGAGACATCTTCCTTAAAGTAAATATTGAGGACTAACTGACAAATATGGAGGAAATGTTAGACTTGGAAAATAATCGTTTGGTAAATATGTAATATATGGATTTAGGCAGGCTCATGACTGTGCTAACCTTAGAAAGAACTTTTCATTAGGAGAATATATGCATTGTCTTAAAGTGTCACCCAAAGGCTGCATATTAATTTCAATGGAGAAAAAAATCAGTAATTATTCAATGGAGATTTGAGCACTCTATTGTGACCAGGTGATCAAAAATTTAACAGCATCAGTGAGGAAGAGATGGACAACATGTACCTTCAGATGTGATAATTTAGAAAGACATAAAATCAAGTATGTAGTGTTCTAGGTGAGAATACATAACCATAATCCAATCATGAGGAAACATCAAATACAAAAATAAAGAAAAATTTGAGTCTAAAAGGTGATTTTTATTCTTCAAAGTGTCAATGTCATGAAAGATTTTTTAAAAAACTGTGAAAATGTACCAGATTGAAGGAAAATAAAGATACATGGCAGATAGCACACTATTTTACTCTATACTGGATCCTGTCTGAGAGCAGAAAATGATATAAAAGACATTAATTGATCAACTGATAAAATTAAGGTATAGACAGTAAAATAGTTATAAGAAATGTATCAATATAAACTTACAAAATTGATAATTATACCGGGATTACGTAAGAATACATCTTTATTTTTAGAAAATACACATCAAAGTTTCTAAGGGCAAAGTTTTATGGAGTATGTAATTTGTTATCAAATGGTACAGAAAAAATATATATTAATAGATAGATAAAAACTTACAGAAATAGATTTAAGGCTAATTTTAATAATAATAACTTTAAATATAAATGGACTAAACACCCTTTTAAAAGGTAAAGGTTATCAAACTGGACAAATAAGTGAGCTCAACTAGATGCTGCATATATGAAATTCACAAGATAGAAATAATAAATATAAAGGCAACAACAAATGCAATATCAACCAGGAAAACCACAGGGAAAACAATGAAACCAAAAGCTGGTTTGTGAGGTGACCAATAAAATTGATAACACTCTAGTCTGGCTGATCAGGGGGAAAAAAGAGAGAAGAAACCAATTACCAATATCAGCAATGAGAAGGGTGACATTAGGACAGATATTACAGTTATTAAAATGATGGTAACAGATATTATAAAAACTTTATGTCAGTAAATTTGACAATTTACATGAAATAGGCAAATTCCTTAAAAACCACAAACTATAATCTTTACTCAAGAAGAAACAGACAACCTGAACAGCCATAGGTCTATTAAAAACAATGTTATTGCAGATAAAAAGAAATCTTCCCAGAAAGAAGTTTAATTCTAGGTAACTGATGAATTCAATTAAATAAAGAAGACATAATATCCATACTATATCAACTCATCAATAAAAATAAAACTTATGAGACTTGTGTTCTGTGATCCTAAAATCAGATTAAGATATTACACAAATAGAACATAGCAAGCCCACATGCCTTGTGAACATAGGTGCAAAAATTCTTAACAAAATGATAGCAAATTGAATCCAAGAATACTTCATAAAACATAAAAATCACTGACCAAGTGAGTTTTGTCTGAAGAATACAAAATTTGTTTAAAGTTTGAAAATCAATGTAGTTCATTGTATCAGCAGACTAAAAAATAAAAATACATAATAATCCCAATAGGTGCAGAAATAGCATTTGATGACATCAACCATCCATAAACTTTCAACTTTCTAAGCATATAAGGAAACTTTCTCAACCTGATAGAGTCATCATGAAAAATCTACAGTTAAATATACATTATGATGAAAGACTGAATACTTTTTCTCTAAGATCAGCAAGAAGGCAAGGCTGTTCACTCTCACCACTTCCATTCAATATCATGCAGGATGTCTTTGACAGTGCAATAAGCTAAGAAAATAAAGTCATTTAGACTAGAAAATAAGAAATTGGAACTACTAAGTGAGTTTAGCACACTGCAGGGTAAAAGACAAATATACTAAAATTAATTGTATTTATATATGTCAGCAACTTAAAGTTGGAAAATGAAATTTAAATAAATACCATCTATAGTAACATTAAAATATAAAATACTTAAGAACAAGTCTGAAAAGCAAACACGTGCAAGGCTTGCCTGTGCACTAAAAATTGTAAAATGTAATAATAAAAGATCTAAATAAATGAAAAGGCATATCTTCTTTATAAATTGAAACACATAATAATATTAAGATATCTGTTCTCCTCAAGTTGAACTATAGATTTAATGCCGTCTCAATCAAAATCTTAGCATGATTTGTTTTCAGAAATTGGCGAGCTCATTCTAAGGTTCATATAAAAACACAAAGCACTTAGAATAGACAAAAGAACTTGAAAAAAAGATTCAAGTTGGAAGACAAACTATCTGGCTTCAGGACTTATTTTAAAGTTAAGGTATTCAACACAAATTGATAATGGTTTATGTATAAACAAGTAGATTAATCGAACAGTTACATATTCAATTGATATTCAACAAAAGTGTGAAGTTAATTCCATGAAAAAGAATATAATTGTTTAATTGTTCTGGATTGGATATTCATTTAAAAAACAGAACCTTTCTTCATACCTACCTCCAGATACAAAAAAATAGACTCAAAATAAGTCATAGACCTAAATGTAACACCCCAGACCATAAACTCACTAGAGGAAAATATGAGAACACATTGTTTTAACCTTGGGTTGACTAAATAGACAACACCAGAATCATAATACATAAAAGAAAGTGTTGTAAAATGGAAGGTTATCTAAGTAAAAAACTGGCTCTTGAACAACATTGTTAAGGAATTGAAAAGAGAAGTCACACATCGAAAGAAAATATTTGCAAATTGTATATCTAATAAAAAAAACCCTTGTATCCAGAGTATATATAGAACTCTCAAAACTCAGTAAGACAACAAAGAGCCCAATTAAAAAAAAGCAAAATATTTGAACACTTTTATTAAAGAATATAAATTGATGGTAATAAGTATATTGAAATGATCTTCAACATCATTAATCACTGGAGAAATGCAAATTAGAACAGCAATTTCATAACACTACACACTTATTAGAAAGTCTAAAATTAAAGTGTAAAGTGTTGATGAGGATGCATTGCAACTGAAACTCTTATATGCTATTAGTACAAATGTAAAATGTGTAAAATGATACAACTGCTTTGAAAAACAGCTTTTCAGTTTCTTAAGAAGTTAAACATATACCACATGACCCCGTCATTCTATGTTTAGTATTTACTCAACAGCAAGGAAAGTATATGTCCATACTTATTCATAAATGTTCATAGCAGCTCTATTTATAACAACCAAAGCTGAAAATAATCCACATCTCCAACAATAGGTCAATGGGAAACATATTGTGGAATTTTGTATACAATGGAATATCACTCAGCAATAGAAAGCAATAACTATTGAATCACTCATCAGTCTTGAGGCTCATAGAATAATTACGCTGAATGAAAGAAACCAGACTAAAAGGAGTACTGCTATATGACTCTATTTATGTAAAATTCTATAAAATTCAAACTTATCTATAGACAGTTTGCTTATAGATAGAAGCAAATAAATGATTTTCTGTGGTGGAGGGGATTGGGAGGGGCAGGGAGAGGATTGCAGAGACTTGAGGAAACTTCTGTAGATAATATGTTTATTATGTTGATCGTGGTGATGTTTTCATGGGTGTATACATATGTCAAATCTTATTAGTTTAATCATGTGCAGCTTATTTTATGTTTACTGTATATAAATTAAGCTGTTTAAAAAAGTAAACAAAAACAATATACACAAGTGAAGAAAATGGGGGGATGATCAGTAGACAGGAGACTTCTTGCAAGAGGAAATGTGGATAAATAGTACTCATGGATTAAACAAAATAAATACAGAGGTGCTCTGAGAAAAAGGATCACACTTTGTTTGGTACAGAGAAACTTGGCAGTCTGCTATAGAGGGCTCACATATCCCAACCACACAAAATGCAAAGTGTTAAATGCAATGGCATTTAGGCAAACAGTGAGAGAATAGTTCCTACAATATTTCCCTTGCTTCAGATGCTAGCCACAAAGTTGGGTATCCCAAGACCACCCTTACTTCAGACCAACTGGCTACAAATTTGGGAGTTCCCACGACCACCCTCAGATTCAGTCATTTGCTAGAATAGCTCACAGAACTCAAGAAAATTGTATACTTATGTTTACAGTTTTATTATAATGAAAGTATACAAATTAGAAACAGCTGAAAGAACAGAACATAGGGCAAATCTGGGCGGGTTCTGAAAATGAAGTTTCTGTCATTATCAGGGACACATTACCTTCTTGGTATTGAAGTGTGACAATACTCAAAGAATACAGTTGTCCATTGGTATCTGTGGGGAAACAGTTCAAGGACCTTCTGCAGATACCAAAATGCATAGATACTCAAGTCCCTTATATAAAATGGCATAGAATTTACATATAACCTATGCATATCCACCCATATACTTTAAAACATGTCTAGACTGCTTATAAATACCTAATACAACGTAAATGCTATGCAAATAGTTGTTATATTTTATTGGTTTTTAGTTTGTATTATTTTTATTATTGTATTGCTATTTTTTTCTTAATAAGTTTGATCCACAGTTGGTGGAATTCATGGAAATGGTGGGCCAACTACTGTATTGCCAACCAGGGAAGCTCCCCCTAGTCATTGGTGTTCAGAGTTTGTATTGGGTTTCAATTACATTTTGCCCACATAGCTGACTTTTGGTCTCCATTATCCAGAAGTTTGGTTAGTCTCCATTTTCTCCAGAGGTTGGAACAGTATGTGGTATGTTCCACAGCCTCCACCATAAATTACATTGTTAGGCCGCCTAGTGGCCAAAGCCCCCCGCCCCGCCCCCGGTAAACAAAAACACTCTTAAGACATTGAAGGAACCTAGAGATCACCTCCTAGTAGTTAAGGACAAAGGCCAGACCCCTCTTTGAGTAAAGTTAATTATTCACTGTACACTAAGGAACCTATGAGTTCTTGTACTATGTGATGTTTCTATATGTACAACATTTGGTATATCCTTCACTCAGGATCTAGCACTTAGCACCAAAACAGAGCAACGCATCATTACTCTAAACATCTGTAATTTGAACTGATGAGCGGGGAGCATTCCCGTGACCCCCTTGGCGGGCAGGAGGGAACTGGAGTGGTTCGTTTCACTCAGCCCACAGCTCAGAACCCTTTCGGAAGGGGGAGCATGCAGGTGAGCCAGTGCAGGAGCCAGGGGCGAGCACCTTTGAGTTCCCGCCCCACAGCAGAGTCTAGGGGTGTGTTACAACGCTCCCTTGCTCGGCCGTCGGGGACGGCTGAGTGTTAACCCTCAAGTTCTCGTCTGGCTGTCCTGGACAAATCAGGTCACAGAAACTATTTGAAAGATGAAGAATGTGAAGACTTTATTGAGCAGTAGAGGTGGCTTTCAACGGGATGAGGAGCTGGAAGTGGGAAGGTGGGGTGGAGGGTGGGGGCAGAGAAAATCTTCCCCTGGAATTCAGACACCTCTTCTCTTCTCTCCTTCTCTGTCGTGCCGGTCGGCTGGTCTGCAGCTCTCTGCCCTTCTCTTCTCTGCCACTGTGCTCCTCTATTCCTCTCGACATCCAGTCACTATGTCTGAGCCAGCTAAGGCTTCCGGTGTATATGGCACAGGATAGGGGGCGTGGCAGGACAGAGTGGTCTTGGAAAACGCAACATTCCCGTGCGATAACAAGAGTCCTTGTTCTCATTTAGGTTTGCAGGTACAAACTTGAGGGTGGAGCCCTCACCAGGGACCTCGCTCTTTTCTACCTAGTATTTCCTTGCCCTCTTCCGGTATCATTAACACCATTCAGACCCCAAGGAAACTGTTTCTCCTGCTCTATGTTCTAGAAGCAAAAATCAATCCAGTTTTAATACCTTGAAAATTTTGGTTTGTGTGATGCCAAAGTTGGGGACCTACATACGGTGCTTAGAAGTGTCCAGAGGATTAGAATGGTAGCAGAGCTTAGACAAGACAAAATTCAAAATAATTAATGTATCATCTTCTTCCAGTACAGTATCATAAGAGATTCTTGCCTAACCTAACGGTCTTTCCCAGCAGTACTAAGATCCATTTATTGTGTTTCATTTTGTTTCCATTTGTGGATTTGGAGACATTAACAAATTAGCATTATATTCACAAGTATTGCCCATGGCAGTTGAAGAGTATTTTGGAATTTTAAATAATTCATATTACTTTTACTTTGTTTCTCTGGGACGCTAGACCAAACATATTTGAAGTGTGTTATTGATTTTTTTTAAATTGGCAACTAGATAGATATTGATATAATAAAATACAATTTAATTTCTGTAAGTTTGATATTTAAAAATTTAGTTTTACTTAAATAATTTTGATTTAAATATTAAATATTTGTTGATTATAATTCCTTTTTCTCAAAATTCTAATAGATGATTGTGAAATTAAAAATCTTTTTTGGAAAACTGTGCAAATATAACAATCATTTTGATTTTTACATTTATATTTTTAATACAAATAGTAAATTATGTGTATTTTAATACAATTAATTTTTATTTTGTGTTTCTATATTACACAACACGTATTATACTGAAATGGGAATAAGTAAAAGCAAATTTTATAGACTAAGTGAATGATAATTTGTGAGTTATCTATATCTTGATTTTAGTCCTGTTCCCTAAAAAATGTCGGGTCACTGATAGAATGCCTAGATGTACAATAATGATTCAATTCAGTCATCCTTGATATTATTTTGACTTTCAGTAATATACAAACTATGGCTTTACACATCTATTTTTAAATTATGTTTTTCTGAATGTTAAGAAATTGAATTTATTAAGAATTTTGAATTTATTAAGACTTTTGAATTTATTAATGAATACATTTGTTAAGAAGCAAAGATAAAGCAAACTTTATTAGCAGCTTGTTAACTTACAGCCTTTAAATATTTAGCCATATTCATGTAGCCTCTGTTTATTGTCTTGGTCAGGACTCCAAAAATAGTAGAATTGGGCATGCTGATGATGATGACAGTCTAATTGTCCAAGGGGTATTGAGGGAGCATTTCAGTGTCAGTGCTTGCAAATATAAAGAGGAGAGTGACACATGAGGCTCATATGAGGCAGATCAATTCAAGATCTTTGCACGTGTGTGTACAAGTGCTGCACAAGCTTGAGGGCTCCAGGACATATATCCACAGGAAAATCAGACAGTTTTGTTGAAAAATTGATAAATTTAAGGATTGAGAGAACATCTTTTTTTTTGGTCAACAACAAAAATATAAAGACATTTTAGACACTCCAAGAAATATACGAAAAGTCATGAATCAAATCGAAAAGTAGCGTGATTTACAGCAACTAATGGAGCACAAAAAGAAAAAATCGGCTGGGCGCGGTGGCTCACACCTGTAATCCCAGCATTTTGGGAGGTGGAGGCGGGTGGATCTCTTGAGGTCAGGAGTTTGAGACCACCCTGGCCAACATGGTTAAACCCCGTCTCTACTAAAAATTAAAAAAAGAAAAAAATAGCAGGGCATGGTAGTGCGCACCTGTAATCCCAGCTACTAGGAAGGCTGAGGCAGAAGAATTGCTTGAACCCAGGGGGCAGAGGTTTCAGTGAGCCGAGATCCTGTCACTGCACTCCAGCCTGGGTGATAGAGGGAGACGACTCCGTTTCAAAAAAAAAAAAAAGAAAAAAAGAAAAAATTACTTTTACCACATTGATAGTTAAATGCACATGAAATTTTACCTTCAGAAGAAGAAATACATGGGTACATTTCTATCACACATGGGGCTCTTCAAAGTTTAATTTTTATCTCATCGTAATATCTGTTTTTAGCCAGTTTATAGATACAGCATGAAAGACTTACCTATGGTTACAAAATAGATGGATTTGGGGTTCAGTCACAGCATTTTCAAAATTAAAACCAAACCTAATAAGTATTGGCAATCTGTACCTAACAAATAAGATTATGTCAAGAAAAATGTAAGATGTCTGGTAAAGAAGTAAAGGAAAGTAAAACTCATTTTCCATGATTAGTTTTTTTTAATTTTTGACTTTGATAATTACAGAGAAAAGTGCTTTGAAATATGCTTATGGAGGACTTACAGTATCAGAAAACAAAACAAAACAATGTGAAATTTCTCAAATAAAAATCTTGAGTTTATTATACCCTTGCATTAGCCAAAAATTAATTATAATTACACATTGTATTTTTATTCTTGTGAATTTTGTGGGAAATATTTTATCCCAGTTTCATAAGTGAGGAAATTGAGGCACCTAGAGATTAATTGGTTTCTCCTGAGGCATGAAGTCAGTAATTTACAGTGAACCTCTCATGTCTTTGAAAACAGTTATTGGAATCTCATCCTAGGTTTTTCCTAGTTCCTTCTTTCAGCTTCTGTTTGTCACTCAATGTTCTAGTTTCAACTTGTACACTTTCTAGCAAATAAACAAAGACGAGGAAGCTTGGTGACCATAATTATTGGTCAAATATTTCATTTTGGTGACGTACATTCTTAAAGAGGGAAATGACAATGATGAGTGAAAAAGTAAAATCCTAGTGGTGAGTGGCAACATAGTCTAAGACAAAATCACAATTTCTCCTTGTGAAGCTGAAACTTACTTTCATAAATTTGTTTCCACTGAGTGTTCATAAATTTATTATTGTGAATGCTACTGTAATTTAAATTTATTTATTTTTAACTGACAAAATTGTATATATATTTATGTGGTACAAAGCGATGTTTTGATATATATACATAATGTGGAATGATTAAGCTAATTAACATATTTGTTACTTCACATACTTATTATTATGAAAACATTTAAAATCTACTCTCCTAGGAATTTTCAAGTATACAATACATTATTATTAACTACACTTACCATGTTGTACAATAGATCCTAGAATTTATACCTAATTGAAATTTTGTGATATTTCATCATCTCTCCATTGTCTCTCCATCCTCTCGTAACCACCATTCTACTCCACTTTTGAGAGTTTTGACTCTTTTTAGATTCCACCTATTAATGAGATCATGTGGTATTTCTCTTTCTGTGCCTGGGTTATTTCACGTAACATAATTTTCTCCAGATCCATACTTGTTGCAGATGACAGAACTGTCTCTTTTAAGGCTGAATAGTATTCCATTGTGTATATATATCACATTTTCTTTATCCTTCATCTGATGATGGACACTTAGGTTGATTCCATATCTTGGCTACTGTGAATAATGCTGCAATGAACACTGGAATTCAAATATCTCTTTGACATGCTGATTTCATTTCCTTTGGATATATACTCAGATGTGGAATTGTTGAATCATATGGTAGTTCTAAATTTTATTTTTTAAGTCACCATCATATAATGGCCTAATTTACATTCTAATAACAGTGTACTAGGGTTGTCTTTTCTCCCTTACCCTCACCAATACCTATTTTGAGTCTTTTTAGTAATGGCTGTTCTAACAGATATGAGGTGATATCTCATTGTGGTTATAATTCACATTTCCCTGATGATTAGTGATGTTAAGTATTTTTTCATGTAGCTTTTGTCCATTTGCATGTCTTCTTTTGAGAAATGTCTATTCAGATCTTTTGCCCATTTTTAAATTGGGTTATTTTCTTTCTCTAAATTTTGGTTATTTGTTTGAGTATGGATGCTAATCTTGTTTGTGTTTCTATATGAGTGTTTCCTACTATATTATCCTCTATAACAAATGCCGTGGTAGAAAGTACCCTTTACTATAAGTCACCAGAACCCCTGAGTTGAGGGTTGGTCTGTACCATTTTCTAGAAGAGTGATGTTAGATAAAGCAGTTAGTTTACCTGAGCCCCTTGTTTTCTCATCTACAAAAGGAGAATAGTAATGAGAGGTGACAACGTGTTAGCAGCCCTCGCTTGCTCCCAGTGCCACCTCAGCCTCGGTGTCCGCTCTGGACACACTTGAGGAGCCCTTCAGCCCGCCGCTGCACTGTGGGAGCCCCTCTCTGGGCTGCTCAAGGCTGGAGCTGGCTCCCTCGGCTTGCAGAGAGGTGTGGGGGGGTGCGTGTGGAGGGAGAGGCGTGGGTGGGAACCGGCGTTGGCACCACAGGCCAGTACCAGTTCCAGGTGGGTGTGGGCTCAGCATGCCCCGCACTCGGAGTGGCCGGCTGGCCCGCCAGCCTCGGGCAGTGAGGGGCTTAGCACCCAGGGTCAGCAGCTGTGGAGGGTGTGCTGGGTCCCCCAGCAGTGCCAGCCTGCCAGAATTCTCGCGGGGCCTCAGCTGCCTCCCCACGGAGCCGGGCTCGGGACCTGCAGCCCACCATGCCCGAGCCTCGCCCCACCCACTGTGGGCTCCCGCATGGCCCGAGCCTCACCAGTGGGCGCTGCCCTCTGCTCTGCGGTGCCTGGTCCCATCACCTGCCCAAGGGCTGAGGAGTGCAGGCGCAGGGCATGGGACTGGTGGGCAGCTCCGCCCGTGGCCCTGGCGCAGGATCCACTAGGCGAAGCCAGCTGGGCTCCTGAGTCAGGTGGGGACTTGGAGAACTTTTATGTCTAGCTAGAGGATTATAAATGCACCAATCAGCACTCTGTGTCTATCTCAGGGATTATAAACACAACAATCAGCACTCTGTGTCTAGCTAAAGGTTTGTAAAGGCACAAATCAGTGCTCTGTGTCTAGCTAATCTAGTGGGGACTTGGAGAACTTTTATGTCTAGCTAGAGTATTGTAAATGCACCAATCAGCACTCTGTGTCTAGCTGGGGGATTGTAAACACACCAATCAGCACCCTGTCAAAACAGACCAATCAGGTCCTTGTAAAATGGACCAATCAGCTCTGTGTAAAATAGACAAATCAGCTCTCTGTAAAATGGGCCAATCAGCTCTCTGTATAATGGACCAATCAGCAGGATGTGGGTGGGGTCAGATAAGGGAATTAAAGAAGGCTGCCTAAGCCAGCCACAGCAACCTGATTGGGTTCCCTTCCACGTTGTGTCGGTTTTGTCTCTTTGCAGTAAGTCTTACTGCTGCTCACTCTGTGAGTCCACAGCGTTGCCTTTATGGGCGGTAGCACTCACCGCAAAGGTCTGCAGCGTCACTCCTGAGGCAAGCCAGACCACGAACCCACCGGGAGGAATGAACAACTCCAAACGCGCCGCCTTAAGAGTTATAACACTCACTGGGAAGGTCTGCAGCTTCACTCTTGAAGCCAGCGAGTCTGCGAACCTACCAGAAGGAAGAAACTCTGAACACGTCCAAACATCAGAAGGAACAAACTCGGGACACACCATCTTTGAGAACTGTAACACTCAGCACGAGTTTCCACGGCTTGATTCTTGAAGTCAGTGAGACCAAAAACCCACCCATTCCAGACACACTAACACGCCTGTTTGCCTGGTTGTGTCTTGATTTGTTAAAATAAAGTATGTACAACACTTTTAGAGAATATGGAACAATAAATAAAGCAGTGCTTTTATCTTAAATTTGCTTTATGCAATATTTAAAAAGTAAGGTATGCATATAAGTAAAGTCCTCTTAATGTATAAAATATTTTAGTACATAAGACAATCTTGAAGACAGGTGTAAGCTTGGAAAGTTTCTTACAAATTAGTCATTATTAAAGACTCATTTACTCTATTGAAACTATTGCTGAGCCACATGTAGTTATTAAAATCTAGAAATTACATAATATTCTACTAAGGTTTTAGTTAATTTACATGCCTGAATATAATCTCAGCAACTGACTCATTTAAGAAATACGGATTTCTGAACTTTTTTTTTTCTGGAGAAATAAAGTGCTAAATATAATGAAAATATGACCTTAAGAAAAGAAGCAGATGATGTTTTTAGCTTTTGGGAAAGTTCATGAAAATACATTAGTAACCAAATATTTCATATTGAAAATCACCTCCTTAGGATGCTCAATTTCACACATGTGTAAAGAACACCCCGTGGCAAACAGCAAAATAGCCTGCCAAAGGTGCACATATTCTAATTCCTGGAAGCTGTGAATATATTAGGTTCAATGGCAAAAGGAATTAAAGCTGCAGATGGGATTGAGGTTGCTTATCAATAGACTTTAAAATGGGGTGATTATCCTGTGTTATCTGAGTGGGGTCAAGGTAATCAGAAGGGTCCATAAATGTGGAAGAGAGAGGCAGAAGCGTCAGTGTCAGAGTGATATGATGTGAGAAAGACTCAACCAGCTACTGCTGACTTTGAAGATGGGAGGACACAACAAACTAAGTAAAGTGGAGTAATGTGGACAGCCTCTAAAAGCAGGAAAAGGCGGGAACACAGACTCTCCTCTAAGCCTCTTGAAAGGAAGGCAGCCCTGATGACATCTTGATTTTAGCCTGTGAAACTCATTTTGGACTCCTGACCTCTAGAATTATCAGATAATAAATATGTGTTTTTTTTTAAGCCACAATGTTATGGTAATTTTTACAACAACGAAAGGAAACTGATGTAAACTCAGTGCTTCCAATCAATATAAAAGACTATGGTTGTCCCTGACAGGAAGTTACAAGCCAATGGAAATTACTATCCTGGACTCTTACGTGAACAAATGTATGGAAAGAGAGGTTTCCTCAAATCTTGTAATAAACTAAATACTTTCTATGTAGCACCTGTAAAGATTAAACTAGTTACTTCAAATTAAAAGTTATGAGGTAGGAAAATAGAGGAGATGCAAATGATAAGTAATCATATTATTTCAAAAACTAATTTACTAAATATCAAGAAGATTTATAGCTAGTGCCCTTGCTTAAAAGTTTTGAAGGATTTTGACAACAGGTGTTGTAGTGAAGATGGAAGGAAATCTTGGATTTTAATAAAAACATAAATCTTTCTGTCACCTCCCAACTGGATAGGAATTTATTCATATGGCAATTGTTTAGAACTTCCATAGATAATTTTCTTTGCTAATTGTGTTATTATTATTACTATCGAATACTACAATTACTTATGGAAAGCCATTTTATTCTTTGCAGATTTTTTATATCAAACCAATTAGCACCAATCAAATTTGTACAATTCTCCAATTACGTTATTATTTAAAACTAGGTGGTTTATTTTGGAACAGTGTACATATTTTTGAAACATCATAAAAAACATCAAGAGAAAGAAAGTCATACAAAGCCCTCCCCACCCACCCGTCATCACTACCAAATACTGAGTTTTTAACTGACACTCTGGATGGAAACGTATTAGTTTCTCATTTTTCTATCCAAAAGTCATGTCTCCTACTGCCAACGTGTACTACGTGTTCTACCACTGTACTCTTGACCTCATATGGCACCTGTCCTCAAATGAAATGGAAGCATTTACCCGGGAACTGGAAATGTTGTGTGTCCTGAGGATGTAACAAAGAAAGAGTGTTTTTGAGGAAAATAGCATTTTTTAAAGTCTCTTAAGTTTGTTATTTTTCTGTAGAAGGTAGGACATGTTTATATTCCTTTTCATATTAGGTATTTCATATTCATATATGGACCAATGTATGTATACAAATAAAAAAACCAAGCCTTACCAATCCCTCATGAGATTTAAGCCTCACACATTATTTTCCTAATGAAATATAGTTTAAAATTTTGTAATTTATAGAAAACTTTAGTTGGTCTAGGTAAACCAGACCTAGTGCTTAATATTTATTATACTTTTACATAGAAGATGAGAATTCAAGAATATCTATGTGTTGTCTCTTGATTTGATAGTTATGTCCAGTGTTTGAGGCAATTATTACCATTTCTATATTGCTTGTTATCATATTTATTGGTAAAAATGTCAGTGTACTAAGAGTATAATGAGCTTGGTTAAGTTTTTAATTCTCTTTTGCCTAATATAGCCATAATGGATTATATATAAAGTCACATATAGTGCCTTATTCTCAAGTAGGAGGAGCTATAATGAAGAATGCTAAGAGGAAAAATATTAGATTGGAGAAACCCAGCCAGTACGGCCATACTAATGAATATGAGAAAAAATTCAATGCAAGTTTCCAAAAAGTTAAAAAAAAAGATACAGAAGAAGAGGTTGAGACCTTCATTGAAAGAAATAATATACAATATCAAAGATCAACTACTTTCCCTTTATCAACCAGTTTCTTCTTTTTTGCCAATAAAATGTGTAGATTCTATTTTTTTTTGACTAATTCTTCTTTAGTGCTGCTAGTGAGGCTCATGTTCTTAAATTTTCTATAAATAAAAAGAAAAATTAAAAGAAAGAGTTAACTTTTATTGGGGGATATTTTTGAAAGACTTTCAAGTGGCGAAAGATAATTCAAGTTCAAAGTTAGAAAGAAAAATATAATAATCAAGTAACTGGCAGTTGTCCACAGGAAAAGATTATTCATGAGCCGACAGGACTGGAACACTTACAGGACATGGAAGCTGTGGGTGGAAACTCACTGTCTACATTAAATAAAGTGGGTTTTGGCACTGCTTTAGACTTGATGTTGAATTCTCTGTCTGTATGCTTTTGTCTTCCCAGACAGTCAATTTCACTGAGGGCAGTGAAGTGGGAGTGGGGAGCAGGGACGCTAATTGTAGCAATTCCCTTTCGACTTGCCAGCTCCCTGGAGAAGATTGTTAGTGGCCCAGCTGAATCTCATCACAGTCATGGAAAACAGCATTCAGTAAATGGTCTGATCCCGAGAACATATTCCTGAGAGAATCAAAATGTCTTCCATACTAACAGACTTAATTTGTCGTGTATATTTTGTGTTGACACTTTATAGCTTTATAAATTCACACTTTTTAAATAATATTTTATCAAAACCAACATGTTTTCCATTTAATGTTGAAATAATATTGGAAAAATGCTGTTTGCAAATAGGTATTTGTTGATTTCTTGTCCCTGGAGCTTAGTATATTATATGTTTAATTTCTTATAGCTGTAAGACACTGGAAACTTTAGGCCATATCTAGGTGTTAAGAAATGTATAAGAAAATGGTTTGCTGGATAATAGTTAAAATATCTTGGGGGATAGGAGAACTAGGATGTATTCCATAAGGCATCTCCCTTCATTTTATAATAAAATTATAATATATCTTTGAACATTTAGTAAAACTTCTCAATATAATGAATAGCATACCTCATGCTTATGAAATTTGAGATCCTACATTACCATTTAGTCAAAATTGCTTCCACCAGCAAGAACACCTAAATTTCCCTGTTATCATTAAATTCCAGATAAATGAACTTCTCTGAGTTTCAATTTTCAAGTTCTAAAATGAAACACATTCTGACTTTGTATAATATGTAGATAAGACATCTTAAAACAGATTTCTGAGAAAAATTACCTTAAGTGGACATACCATTGCATATATTATCCTGATAAATCATACCAAATTGTTGCTTTTTATCTTAAAACTACCTTTTTAAAAGCATATACTAATAATACAAAGTGGGGAAAAGATGTTTCTTTTATTTATAGGAAAAATATAACAGTAAAAAAGAGAAGGTAAGAGAAAGAAGAGAAGGGAAAGTATGATTGACTACTGCACCTAGGGATAAATGTGTATAAACCGGTTCATTATTTTTTATATCCTATATGAGTTTCTCCAATTTCCAAACCAAATAATAGAGATAATTTTTGCTAACTCCAAATGGCACTGCTTTTGCATATTCTCCAAAACCATCATGTTCTAAATTGTGTATAATTACATATTTAGAGGTTAGGGTTGGTGGATAGAGATGAGGGCTCTCTGGAGACAGAATATCCACAGAAAAGGGAAGTAGAAGGATTTAAAAAACAAACTTCACAAGGTTTCCTAGCTTCAGATCTGCATGTATTATTCTTCTTACATGTTTATTATGACTACTGCATTTTGGAAGGATGTAAAATCTCGATTTTTTCCTTGATAATTTCATGCATAATCTGAACATCTTAATTTGGCTACAAAGTTGTTGAGTTTTAATCTTCCAAAGTGCCTGGTGCAATAATCAGGATAACCTTATGCTGTAAAACAAAAACTCCCATATGTCCGTGGTTTACAATATCATTTTTTTTTCCTTCTTTCTCATAATACATTTACAATCTGGGTTGGCAGAGAAGGGGGTTGCTAAAAAGACTACCTTGATTCAGGTTCTTTTGTCATTTGAAGTGAGGCTTCAGACTTAGCCATGGTAGGATAAAATAACAAACCAACAAACACATGGAGAATTGAGTTTTTTAAATGCTTCTGTGCAGAGTGACACATCACTTTCACTCACATTTCATTAACCAAAGTAAGTCTTAGGACTATACTTAGACATAAAAAGTGAATGATTATGGAAGGAGAGGAGACCTAGAATTCTTGGAATATTATAATAACATCTATTACAGTTTGCTTTTTTGATCACTAAGTATTCTGATTACTCTCCTTCCCACAGGCGGTGCATACTCAATACCGCTTAGAGAGAGACAACTCAATAGTCATTCCAGTCACGGTATAGAACTTAAAATTCAAGCCGTCTCTAACGATGTGCACTGGTCTGTTCATTAGGTCTGAATTTGGCTTGCTTTGATCTAGGGAAGAGTGACCTAAATCAAGCTAAATTGCACCACCTACTCAATCACTCACCCACCCTGTGCTGCCCCAGACCCACAATATGCAATGATGGAAAAGGAAGATAATAAACACTGTCCTTCAGAAACGGGAAGAATAGGGGACTTACTTTCTACAGGCCCTGATTCACATCAATTCTAAAATTTCACTGGGAAGATATTATGAGCTTCACTATCTTGGAGGTGTGGAATGTTCCTTGGTTATGCTCTGATTCTATTCCTTGGGAAGAGCTCCTTTGTTCATTGTTTTGCAAGTCGCTAGCTACACCCTCTGAAAGAGTTTGCTTTTTCCAATATATTTCTTGGCCACATCTAAAGTAGGCCATAGGGAATACTCTGTGCTGCTTTCTTAACTCATTTCCTGCCTATATATGGTTGGGTGCTCAAAGATCATTTAAAGTCTGGAGAAACAGACTCCTGGTTCTTTTGGAAGTACTGCTCTCTCAGAGACTCACCAAACTTATTATCTATCTGATTTTATTCATGGGTCTGTAACTAGACTGACACTATTTTCTGAGATACAGTTGCCAGAACTGCTAACATTTCTTTGTTTTCTCTCTCATGCTCTTTCTCACTCTCACTCTGTCCTTTGTGTTAGGTCCTTTGAGACTTGAGCATGTAATAATGAATCCTTTTTGAAAAAACTAAAAACAAAATTACAGAGTTGTATACCCTAATCTGCTCCATGCCCAGAGGTAATTTAATCAATTAAAAGATTTTAGTGAATGTTGGACTCACAAAGTATTTCTCAATCTTTGGTTGTTTGGGATGAAAAAAGTACTTTCTGGACTTATTCTATTTCCTTTCTCCTGGTCTTTGGAAACTGACTAATTCTTTCCTGAGTTCTTCTGTTTTTTTTGCAATGTATTGCAAAACTATCCAGTGGTAACCAATACACACAACCAACATTTGCTTTCCAATATGCTCCCCTAGAGCTACAAGTGCATTGGGAACATGAGCTGTCTTGCATGTTATTATAGGCTTCAGCAAATGTTTTATCTCCATGCTGTAGGGCAAACATCACTATCTTCAGTTTCCAGATTCAGTTTTCCCAACACCAGCTATTGTGTCCCTAAGAGAGCATGACATATTTTAGGATTTTTTTAAAGGGAATAATTATGCTTTAGGTTCTATTTTTATAATCACTAAGAGATAGTCAATTGTTAAAGAAACAAAAATTTCAAGAGTTTAAAGCAAGATGCACAAGCCAATTGTTTTCCTGTGTACCAGCAATGACAAACTGGAATTTGAAGTTAAAAAAAAGTAGTAGCACCAAAAATAAAAATGAAATAAATAGTTGTAAATGTAGCAAAATGTGTACAAAATATGTATGTAGAAAGCTGCAAATTACTATGGAAATAAATCAAACAATATCTAAATAGGAAAAAAGATATGCCTCTGGATTAGGAGACTCCATAGTGTTAAGATGTCAGTTCTTCTCAGTCTGATCTATAGATTAAATATAATACCAATCACAATCCCAGCAACCTTTTTTTGTAAATATAAAAAATATTCTAAAATTTATATGGAAAGGCAGAGAGACTGGAAAAACAAAGGCAATTCTGAAAACAAACAATTGGAGTAATCTCATTACTGGATTTCAAAATTTATTATAAAATTACTATAATCAAAACAGTCTTGTATTCACAAAAAAATTAGATACATTAATTCATGGAACAAAATGGAGAGCCCAAAGGTAAACACATATAGGTATAGCCATCTGATTTTGACAAGGTGCGAAGGTTATTCAATGGAAACAGGACAGTCTTTTCAAGAAATGCCATTGAAATAATTGGATATCCAAGCCTACACATAAATCTCATACCTCACACAAAATTAAGTGAAAATGGATCAAAGATATAAATGTAAAATGCAAATCCATAGAACTTCTAGAAGAAAAATAAGAGAAAATCTTCATGACTTGGTGTTCAGGTATTAGTTTTAAATATAATACCAAAAGCACAATGCATTGAAAAAAAAATTTGCACCTTATTAAAATTAAAAAGTTTTTCTCTGTAAATGACACTGATAACAGTGAAGAGACAGGCCACAGACTGGGAGAAATTACACATATCTGATAAAAGACTTGTATTTATAGTATACCAAGAACTCTTAAAATAACAGAGATTTATTTTGTCTTTATGCTACATATCACTACAGATCACTATGGGTCACTCAATAGGCTCTGCTGTCATATTAACTTTAGGGTTCTCTAGGTTAGGTGAAGATGATACAGAGAATTGGACCACTTTTTTTTTTTTGCTATTGTTGTTGTTGGAGCCTTGCTCTGTCACCTAGGCTGGAGTGCAGTGGCGTGATCTCAGCTCACTGCAACCTCCGCCTCCTGGGTTCAAGCAATTCTCTGCCTCAGCCTCCCAAGTAGCTGGGATTACGGGCACCTGCCACCACGCCCAGCTAATTTTTGTATTTTTAGTTGAGATGGTGTTTCACCCTCTTGGCCAGGCTAGTCTTGAACTCCTGACCTCGTGATCAACCCACCTCGGCCTCCCAAAGTACTGGGATTAGAGGTGGGAGCAACTGCGCCCAGCCTGGACCACTCTTAATTGTTCCTACTGGTAATTGGCATGCCACCTCTGATGACATTTCATGGGATAAAGAAAATATGACCCAAAGTCTGCTCTTAGAAGAAAAATTCCAGGAAAAAAATTCTGGAATAAACTGCAAATGTAGCTGAGCACTAGTAAGCTTTCCTTGTTAGGTGATTTACGTATGCATGAACACCTGAGAGACCATTTAGATGATATTCATTAAACACTGCATATACAAATCAGATGTTACTTGGTAAAGAAATTACCTGATTTTTATCTTTGCAGGAGATTGAAAGTCTAAAGCAATAAAGTCTTCAACTTTCATATAAATATTAGATTATAATTTAATTACTAGATATCCACTTAGAAAGTAATTAAGACCTTTGACAGGACAAAGAAAGATAAAAGAAAACAAATATGCCATTTGAAAGTGACTGTATACAGCTAAAATAGCTTGAAATGAAATGGCTTTAGAGAAATGTCTAATGTAACTATATAAACTTCAGTGGTTTCTTTCAAAGTTGCTGAAATTTTTGGGTCAGTTAGACCACTAGAGTTAACTTAGAGACAATGAAAACATGAAAAGACCACATGAAGAGTTTCCTGAATCAAAGGAAAACCATCACATTTCAGTAAGTTGTAGAAGTTTTTATGTGCAAAGAACTTTCATTTGGAAAATCCAAACCAATTACTCAAAGATTTCAAAGATTGTTTAAAAATAACATTAATGTACTACTAATGTAATTTTATTTAAAATGAAACTAATTTACTATTAACTACTAATTTACTAACCACTGTCATTTGAACAGGTCAGTACCTCTACATTTTTATGCAAGCTTATGGTGATCCTGTTTCTTTAGGATCTTGATGCCTCCAGGCTTCAGTTAAATTCAGTATATGAGTAGTTGATTAATGAAAACTTTTTCAACCAAGAGTGTTAGCCTATCATTGGAATAAAATACATCAATAATACATAGGGCTCTAGTGCCTGAAGATGCTAAATGGAGTGGTCGGGAAGTATGCTTCTCCACCTCCCTGAACTTGACTGACAAAAGGGCAAGATCAATAAATATTAGTAGCTAAGTGCAAATTTAGAGAAAAAAATCACTAATTGATAATTCATTTGATGTTTTCTTTTCTATATCAGTCCTTTCAACAATCATAAACAGACACCACAAAAAATGCTAGGATTTTTTTTCTTATGAAAATCAGCTTTTTAATTTTATTTTTAAGACTAGTATTTATCACAAATTGTTGGCCTCCGAAGAATAAATTGACAAGAAGCTTCCTGGTATGGTTTTGATCTGCGTCCCCACCCTAATCTCATGTTCAATGGTAATCCCCGGTGTTGAAGATGGAGCCTGGTGGGAGGTGATTGAATCATGGAAGTGAGTCCTTAATGAATGGTTTAGCATCATCCATTTGGTGCTTTTCTCCTGATAGAGTTCTCATGAAATCTGGTTGTTTAAGTGTGTGGCATCTTCTCCCATCTCTCTTCTTCCTACTCCAGCCATGTGAAATGCTCACTCTCCCTTACCTTCCCCATTATTGTAAGTTTCCTCAGTCCTGCCCAGAAGCTGAGCAGATGCCAGCACCATATTTTCTGTGCAACCTGCAGAAACATGAGCCAATTAAACATTTTTTCTTTATAAATTACCCAGTCTCAGGCATTTCTTTATACAAATGCAAGAACTAATACACTTCCATAGATCTCAATTTTATAAACTAGATGAAGGAAAACATAGTTAAATTCTGAAAAAGGAATTCAAATTTGTAGTCTCCAAATGGATAAACTGTGGGAGCTGGGGATAAATAACAACTCGGAGTTATAAACTATATGCTCTTTGAAATAAATGGCATATTGAATGTTGCCTTGGATAGTCAAAACATTTCAGAGTTTAAAATGGCTTACTAGGAAATTTACCCATAAAATAATTGTTGTTTATTAGTTTTCCAAATGCATTTAAAAAATGAATATAATGAATATACATTTTAGGTTCAACAAGTTTGTGCTTGTTCTAATCCAAGCCAAACTTGGATTTCATGTTGCCATTAGCTCTTGAAATAGTTAACATAGAAACATACTCATCTATAGCTCCACATACTCACATGTATATAATTGATTTCTTTACAGACTGTAGCTAATTTTCTTAAAACACACAAAAGAGAAAAGTACACAGGGTAGAAAAAGTAGGTTTAGTGACAAAAAGTAGATATTAGCATATAAGATATTTTTGGTTTTAACTTTCTCTTTTAGCTATTTGAGCTTGGGCAAGTCATTTAATCACTTTGCCTCAAATTCCTCATTTGTAAAATGGAGAATAGCAATAACATCTATATCAAAAGATTATTGTGAAAACTAAGTTCATATATATATACACACATATATATACATATATACATGTATATATATATACATGTATATATGTATATATATGTATATATATGTGTTTGTGTGTATATATATATATTTTATATATATAATATATATATATATATATGAACAGGTCCTGACATAAAGTTAACTAAAGGCCGGACAAACCTCAGTTATTGTTATCAAATGTATTATCTTTCTTTTTTTTTGAGATGGAGTTTTGCTCTTGTTTCCAGGCTGGAGTGCAATGACGCGATCTCGGCTCACCACAACCTTCACCGTCTGGGTTCGAGCAATTCTCCTGCCTCAGCCTCCCGAGTAGCTGGGATTACAGGCATGAGCCACCATGCCCAGCTAATTTTGTATTTTTAGTAGAGACAGGGTTTCTCCATGTTGGTCAGGCTGGTCTTGAACTCGAGACCTCTGGTGATCCGCCCGCCTTGGCCTCCCAAAGTGCTAGGATTATAGGTGTGAGCCACCATGCCCGGCCATCAAATGTATTATCTTATACTCATTAGATTGTTATGAGCAGTGTATTTTACACATTTCTATCCATACATCCTGTATATCAAGGGCTTAATCTACTACAAACCAACTTTTAAAACACTTTATTAATGGTTTGTTCCATGTCTTCGCAGTATCTCAACTGGCATTATCCGTTTTCACCTTTGCTTTACTCTTACTCATACTATTATCCCCTTCAGCTGTGCCTTTCTCTCCTGTTCTGTATGTGTCTGGGAATCATTAATTATCCAAAGGCAAGATTAAGTTTACAGGTTATTTTTAGTTATATAAGAAAAAGGTGATATCATCTCCTTGGAACTTGTATAACATTTATTACATTCTTGAAATTAAAGAACTGTTTGATTGGAGCATTGTTTACTGTTAGCTAATTAGGACCAGAATGTTCACTTTAATATAAGCAATGTCAAACCAAAGTTCTTATTTATTGGCTGATATTTTTTGAAGGATTGAGGGACATGATTTAATAACTTTATTCCCAGCTCAGTTCTGATTATCTGATAGTTTCAAAATTAACTTTGGCTCAGTTTAATTTTCCACTTACCTTTATAGACGTATAGTTATAACACAACTATAGTAACATTCCAGAAAATTATTTTTGAGTAAAATCTTCTGTGGAAAGCTTAGTTACATTGTAATTGTTCAATTGCAGAGATTTGTTTTTGTACCTACGTCTCCCACCTATTAGTAAGTGTGATTTTTCTGTTATTTCAGTAGGAAGAGATAAGGCAAATTTTAGTTTGTAAATCAGAGAGATGGAGAAAATAAATATGAGTGTTTTATTTATTTATTTATTTATTTATTTGAGACGGAGTCTCACTCTGTCGCCCAGGCTGGAGCGCAGTGGCATGATCTAAGCTCACTGCAAGCTCCGCCTCCCGGGTTCATGCCATTCTCCTGCCTCAGCCTCCGGTGTAGCTGGGACTACAGGCACCCGCCACCACGTCTGGTTAATTTTTTTGTATTTTTAGTAGAGACGGGGTTTCACCGTGTTAGCCAGGATGGTCTCTATCTCCTGACCTCGTGATCTGCGAGACTCAGCCTCCCAAAGTGCTGGGATTACAGGCGTGAACCACCGCGCCCGGCCAATATGAAGTCTTTATTAGAGCTGATGACCACTGGGCAAAGTCTGTTCTTGGAAGCAGCTATCTCTATTGTTTGCACAGGTAATCAATTTTAGAGCTTGTGATCTCACCCTTCTTTTGCCTCAGGGATCCAGTGGTAGCCTTCCTTAGACTGGCTACTGGCCTTAAATGTGGACTGGTGGAATAAAGTGAGCTTATCCAGCCAGGTTCTCTCTCTTACAACACTGAGTCAGAAGTATGGAAATGATTTGCCAATTGAGAAAAAGATCAGAACTCAAAAAACTGCCATACATGTGAATCATATTATGACAAAATGAAGCTAAAATTTTTAGAAGTCAGAGAAAATTGTTGTTAAGAAATGCATGAAGAGAAAAATCCTGCAGTTTATGAAAGAGAAACAAAATGGTTGCTAAAATTCCCTGGGTTCTTGCTGCCATTCTAGGTCCCATTTGCAGTTCTTTCCCCTTCCCTTCCATCTCTAACAGTTTCTTTTTTTTTTTTTTTTTTTTTTTTTTGAGACAAGACTGTTTCCAGACTGGAGTGCAGTGGCACGATATCTCGGCTCACTGCAACTTCTGCCTCCCAGGTCTAACAGCTTTAAGGAGATTATTTATGTATTTTTACTTTTTCACAACAGTATGTATACATTTTTTATATAAGGTGTAAGATGCCTAGGTAGGAGCAGCAGATAGTATCCATATATTACACTAGCGGCCACTAACCTGAGGAAATGAAGATTTAGAAGGAAATTTCATAGTTGTGAGAATTATTTAACACAGAAATACATTGGGAAAGGGTTTTCTGGAATGGCTTAGAAATGGAATCATTTATACTTGGAGGGATAAATTAGATTTATGTTTGCCCAAAGAAAGTTTGAAATGCCATATCAAAGCTCTTCCACGAAAAATATACTTTATTTATCTTTTAAATGATAGTTTTCTGTGTAGTATGCATTTACAACTATTAAACTTACATTTAAAAATGAGGCCAGCTTGGTTAGCATTAGCTTTTTGATTTTCGTGCAACAAATTATTGCAAACTTAGTGGCTTGAAACAACATCCACTAATTAGTTTAAAATTTGATCATTTAGAAGTTTGGTATAGTGGGTATAGTGTGCTGGGTTTTCTGCTCAGAGTATCACAAGGCTAAAATCTACATGTTGAATGGTTTAGTTCTCATCTGGAGATTCAGTGGAAATACTACTTTTTTTCTTTTCTTTTTTTTTTTTTTTTTGAGACAGGATATCACTTTGTCGCCCAGGCTGGAGTACATTGGCACTATCTCAGCTTACCGCAACCTCCACTTCCTGGGTTCAAGTGATTCTCATGCCTCAGCCTCCTGAGTAGCTGGGATTACAAGCATGTGCCACCCTGCCTGGATAAGTTTTGCGTTTTCAGTAGAGATGGGGTTTCACCATGTTGGTCAGGCTGGTCTCGAACTCATGGCTTCAAGAATCCTCTTGTCTCAGCCTCCCAAAGAGTAGGGATTATAGGTGTGAGCCACTGTGCCTGGCCTCAGTGAAAATATTACTTCTAAGCTTATGCTTATTTCCTGCAGTTGTAGGGTTGAGGTTCTCATTCTCTTGTTCACTATCAATTGAGAACTGCTCTCAGCTCCTAAAGGTCACTCTTGTTCTTTGGCAAGTAAAGTCTGCCATCTTCAAATCAACAATGGCATGTAAAATCCTTCCTGAATTTCAAATTCTTGTTGTTCTCTTCTATAATCAGCCATAAGAAACTCTTGGCTTTTGAGGACTCTTACAATTAGGTCAGGACCACTTAAATAATCTCTGTTTTAGAGTCAACTGTGCCATAGCATAATCTAATCATGGGAATACTATCTATTTTATTCACATTCTCAGATATTAGAATAGGACATTTGGAGAATAATTTTAGAATTCATCGCTCTGCATTCTGGTCAACAAAGGTGCCATATTAGAGGACCAGCCAATGATATCACATTGCAGGAATCATAGTTCACAGGTTTACCAGGTTTGAGTCCCTAGCCAGCTTCCTCACAGAGCCTTTGTGGTTTAGCTAAGTCTTTCTCACATCTGGAGACAATTTCAAGTCAGTGATAAAGTGAAGAGGGCACATCTGTACACATCCAACCCCAGCTGTTGAGCAGCAACTCCACCAAGCCTTTGTGCTCTATTTAAGCCTATCCGAGGCAGAAAAGCAAGCCCAAGTTCATCATATATACAGAGCATTGCCTCTCACCCTGCCCACTTTGTGTGGCTAAGTAGCAACCTGAGATACCTTACCTAGCCTCAGATCCCAGCACATGACTCTGCCCAACTATAGATTCCAAATAACAGTGTCTCCTAACCAGGGAGGACAACCTGCAGCCCTTCTTGGTCACAGAATACCACAGAGCCTAGCTAGCAACTCTGCCTGACAGCAGAATTTAGCCAGAGGTCTCACCAGAGCATGGAGCATAGACAACCGTATCATTAGACCTCAGAGAACAGGAAGTGACCCAGCTCAACCAGAAAATCTGACACCAACATCTTTCTGCCTTGTGGTGCTACCAGCCAACTCATCTAGAATTTTCAGCCTAGACTAAATAGTAAAGAACTATTACCACCAAAGAGTGTCCACAAAGGCTGAAAGAAGGATTTGTCTCATCAAATATACAGGCATCAACATAAGGACACAAGAATTATTAAAAAATCAGGAAAATGTGGCACCACAAAAGAAACCATAAAGGTCCAATAATGTACCTAGAAGAAATGAAGATCTATGAAATGACTGACAAAGAATTTTAAATAATCCTTACAAAGCAGCTCAGGGAAATAAAAAAAATATAGAAATGTAAATACAATTTGAAATACAATGTGTGAACAAAATGAGAATTTTTTGAAAAAGACATAGTAACAATTAAAAATAGAAATCCTAGAGGTAAAGAATACAATAACTAAACTGAAAAATTCAATAGAAAGCTTCAACAGCAGACTTGATTAAGCAGAAGAAAGAATCATCAAGCTCAAAGATAGGACATTTGAAATTATTCAATCTCTTTTTGAGAAAAAATGAAAAAGAATAAAGAACCATAGGAATTACGGGACACCGTAAAGTGAAGTGATATTCACATAGCAGGAGTTCCAGAAAACAAAAGAAAAGAAAGGCCTAGAAAACATATTTAACAAATATTGGCTGAAAATTCACCAGATCTATGGAAAGATGATGAAAATCCAAGCACAGGAAGCCCTCAGGTGGCCAATAAAATTCAGTTCAAAGAGGAGTTCACCAAGACATATCTCAATCAAGTTACCAAAAATCAAAGACAAAGAAAACAGCAAGAGGTAAGAAACGTATTGAAGGAAGCACCAATACAGCTTTCAGCAGATTTCTCAGCAGGAATCCTGCAGGCCAGAAGAGAGTGGAATGATGTATTCAAGTGCTTAAGAAAGCAAACAAACAAACAATCAAAATTTTCAACCAATAATAATTTACCCAGTAAAGTTGTACTTACAAACTGAGGGAGAAATAAAATCTTACCCTGACAAACAAAAGCTAAGGCAGGTCATCATCACTATGCCTGCTTTAAAAGAATTGTGAAAGGAAGTTCTTTAAGGCTACCAGTTAATAACAAAAACATACAAAAGTGGAAAATTCAATGGTATAAATAATACGTAGTCATGCTCAGAATTCTCTAATCCTGCAAGAGTGGTATGTAAACAATTGTATCCACACCATGAAGATTAAAAGAAAAAAAAATCATTTTAAACAACTAAGGTCACAATAAATTGCTTTTGAGAAACAAATTATAAAAGAAAGGAAAATGTAAAAATTTGATATTAAAATCAGAAAAAGTGTTTGGGAGAGGAAGAAGTGAAAGTGTAGAGTTTCTGAATGAAATTAAAGTTGTTAGCAGCTTGAAGTAACCTGCTATAAGGATAAGATGCTTTATGTAATAAGCCTATGATAACCACAAAGCAAAAACCTACAGCGGTTGCACAATATATAAAAAGTAAGGATTCAAAGCATACCACTACCAAAAACCATACAGTCACAAAGGAAGATAGAGAGGAAAAAAAAGAAATACCAAAAGACCAATCAGAACAATAAGAAAACAAATTACCAAGTGGCAGTAGCAAGTATTTACCTATCAATAATTATGTTAAGTGTGCATGGATTAAAATCTCCAATAAAGAGACACAGAGTTGCTGAATGCATTAAAAAAAAAGATCCAACCATATACTTTATACAAGAGACTCACTTTACTAACATGGACGCACAGACTGAAGGTGAAGGAAGGGAAATAATTCCATATAAATAAAAATCTGAAGAAGGTAGGGTAATTTATACTTAGATAAAATAGTATTGAAGTAAAACATTATAAAACAGACAAGGTGATTACATAATGATGAAGGGATGAATTCACCAAGAGGACATAACAATTGTGAATAAATACACACTACACATCAGAGCACCTGAATATGTCAAGCAATTATTAAATGAGCTGAAGGAAGAGCTAGACTGCAATATTATTGTAGTAGAGGAGCTCAGTACTTTCAACAATGAAAAGATAATATAGACAGAAAATCAATAAATAAACATTGGATTTAAATTATACTTTCTGCTGAAAGCTGTATTGGTGCTTCCTTTAATACATGTTTGCACACAAAACATTCTCCAGAATAGAAAATATATTAGGCCACAAAATAAATTTTACAAATTCAAGTTAATTGAAATTATATCAAGTATCTTTTGGGATCACAATGGCATAAAATATCAATAACAGGAGTAATCTTAGAGAATACAAAAATATGTGGAAATTAAACAATGCCTCCCTGAAAAACCAATGAGTCACAGAATAAATAAAACAGGAAGTCACAAAATGCCTTCAGTAAAATGAAAATGAAAACCAATGTACTAAAACTTGTGGGATGCATCAAAAGCCATCCTATTGGGTAAATATAGAGCAATAAATGCCCATATCAAAAAAGAAGGATCTCAGACAAACAATCTAATGTTAAACCTCAAGAGACTATGAAGAGAAAAACAAATTAGGCCAAAGTTAAAGGAAAGAAATGACAAATAGAGCAGAAATAAATGAAATAGACACTAGAAAAACAATAGAAAAGATCAACAAAATTAAGAATAGTTTTTTTTGAAAAGATTAACAAAATAGACAAACCCTTATCCAGGTTAGCTAGGAAAAAAAGAAGAGAGAAGACTCGAAAAAATAACCTCAGAAATGAAAGAGGAGAGATTACCACTGATATTAAAGAAATACAAAGGATAATAAGGTACTACTATAAACAATTATATGTTGACAAATTGGGTACTGTAGAAAAAAGGATAAATTCCAGATACATAACACCTAGAAAGATTAAATAATAAAAATGGAAAATCTGAAAAGACTAACAATTAGTAGTGAGATTGAATCAGTAGTAAAAAGCTTCCCATAAAAAAGAAAAAGCCCAGGATCAAGCAGTTTTATTGATGAATTCTAACAAACATTTTTTAAAAAACAAATACCAATTCTTCTCCAACTCTTCCAAAAAATCAAAATGGAACGAAAACTTTTTTTTTTCTTTATTATACTTTAAGTTTTAGGGTACATGTGCACAATGTGCAGGTTTGTTACGTATGTATACATGTGCCATGTTGGTGTGCTGCACCCATTAACTTGTCACTTAACGTTAGGTACATCTCCTAATGCTATCCATCCCCCCTCCCCCCACCCCATAACAGGCCCCAGTGTGTGATGTTCCCCTTCCTGTGTCCATGTGTTCTCATTGTTCAGTTCCCACCTATGAGTGAGAATATGCGGTGTTTGGTTTTTTGTCCTTGCGATAGTTTGCTGAGAGTGATGGTTTCCAGCTTCATCCATGTCCCTACAAAGGACATGAACTCATCATTTTTTATGGCTGCATAGTATTCCATGGTGTATATGTGCCACATTTTCTTAATCCAGTCTATCATTATTGGACATTTGGGTTGGTTCCAAGTCTTTGCTATTGTTAATAGTGCTGCAATAAACATACGTGTTCATGTGTCTTTATAGCAGCATGATTTATAATCCTTTGGGTATATACCCAGTAATGGGATTGCTGGGTCAAATGGTATTTCTAGTTCTAGATCCCTGAGGAATCGTCACACTGACTTCCACAATGGTTGAACTAGTTTACAGTCCCACCAACAGTGTAAAAGTGTTCCTATTTCTCCACATCCTCTCCAGCACCTGTTGTTTCCTGACTTTTTAATGATCGAACACTTTCAAATTAATGTTGTCAGACCAGAATTAGCCTAATACCAAAGCCAGACAAGGACACTACAAGTAAAAAATCACTACAGACAAATATCCCTGATGAACATAGATGCAAAAATTCTGAACAAAACGAATTTAATAACACATTAAAGGAATAATTTACCATGACTGTGTCAGGCCATTCTTACACTGCTATAAAAAAGTACCTGAGACTGGGTAATTTCTGAAGAAAATTGACTCACAGTTCTGCAGGCTGTACAGAGTCATGGCTGGGAGGCCTCAGGAAACTTTATGGCAGAAGGAAAAGGGGAAGCAAGCACATCTTACCATGGCAGAGCAGGAGAGACAGAGAGTGAAGAGTAGGTGCCACACACTTTGAAACCACCAGGTCTCGCGAAAACTAACCACTATCAGGAGAACAGCAAGGGGAAGTCTGCGTCCATGATCCAATCACCTCCCACCAGGCTGCTTCTCCAACTCGACATGAGATTCAGGTAGGGACACAGATTCAAACAACATCAACAATCAATGGATTTAACCCTGAGATGCAAGGATGGTTTAACATATGCAAATAAATAAATGTTATACACCACATGAACAAAATGACGCATGAAAATCATATGATCATCTCAATAGATGTAGAAAGAGCATGTCATCATTCTTTCATGATAAAAACTCTCACAGATTAGGTATAGAAGAAATGTTCCTCGACATTATAGGCCATACATGACAAATCTGTAGCTAACATCATTCTCAATGGTGAAAAGCTGAAAGCTTTTTCTCTAAGATCAGAAGACAAAGATACTCTCACCACTTCTTTTCTTTCTTTTCTCTTTCCTTCTCTTTCTTCCTTTCTTTCTTTTTTCTTTCTTTCCTCTTTTTCTTTCTTTCTTTCTTTCTTTTCTTTCTTTCTTTCTTTCTCTCTCTCTCTCTCTCTCCCTCTTTCTCTCTTTCTCTCTCTCTCTCTTTTGACAGAGTCTCACTCTGTTGCCAAGGGTGGAGTGGAGTGGTGCAATCTCAGCTCCCTGCAACCTCCACCTCCTGGGCTCCAGCAATCCTCCCACTTCAGCCTCCTGAGCAGCTGGGACTGCAAGTGCCCATCACAATGCCTGGCTATTTTTTGTATTTTTGGTAGAAATAGGGTTTTGCCATGTTGCCCAGGCTGGTCTCCAACTCCTGAGCTCAAGTAATCCACCCACCATGGCCTCCAAAGTGCTGGGATTATAGGCATGAGCCACCTCACCCAGCCCTCATTTTCAATATAGTACTGGAAGCCCTAGCCAGGGAAATTAGCCAAGAGAAAGAAATAAATAACATTTTAATAGAAAAGTAAGAAGTTAAATTGTTCCTATTTGATAATAATGCAATGTTTTAAATGGAAAACCCTAAAGACTCTACTGAAAAACTGTTTAGAACTGATAAAATGATTCACTAAAGTTTCAGGATATAAAATCAACATACAAAAACAGGGAGTATTATTATATACTGATAACAAACTATCTGAAAAGGAAATTAAGAAAACAATCCCATTTGCAATTGGAACAAAATAATTAAATACTTAGATGTTAAGTTAACCAAGAAGGTAACTCACTTGTATACTGAAAACTATATAATGGTGATAAAATAAATTAAAGAAAACACAAATAAATGAAAATATAGCAAAAATAGACCAATGGCATAGCATTAAACTAAAAAGTTTTCACACAGCAATGGAAGCAATTTAACAAAGTGAAGAGATGATCCACAGAATGGGAGAAAATAACTGCGAACTATACATCTGATAAAGGGTTAATATCCAAAATATATAAGGAACTCAAGTAACTCAATAGAAAGAAAACAAATGACCTGATTAAACAATGGGCAAAGGATCTGAACAGACATTTTTCAAAAGGAAGACCTACAAATAACCCATATATAAATGATTGATATGGTTTTGCTGTGTCCCCACCCAAATTTCATCTTGAACTGTAGCTCCCATAATTTCCACGTCGTGGGAGGAACCCAGTGGGAGGTAATTGAATCATGGAGATGGGTTTCTCCCGTGGTGTTCTAGTGATAGTGAATAAGTTGCATGAGATATGATGGTTGAATAAAGGGCAGTTCCCCTGCACGTGCTCTCTTGCCTGCCACTATGTAAGACACGTCTTTGCTCTTCCTTCACCTTGCACCATGATTTTGAGGCCTCCTCAGCCATGTGGAACTGTGAGTCCACTAAACCTCTTTTCTTTATAAATTACCAAGTCTCAGGTATGTCTTTATTAGCAGTGTGAGAACAGACTAATACAATGATAAAATACTTAGCATTGCTAAATATTAGGGAAATACAAATTAAAACTGCAATGAGATATTACCTTACACCTCTTGGAATATCTTTTATCAAAAACAAGAACAATAACAAGTATTATCTAAGATGTGGAGAAAAGAGAACTCTTGTACATTTTTGGTGGGAATATGAATTTGTACAGCCATTATGGAAAATGGTATGGAGGTTTCTCAAAAAACTAAAAATAATACTACCATATGATCAAGTAATCCTACTTCTGGATAAAAGGAACTTATTAAACATGTTCATTCAAGGTCAACAAGTTGCAGAGTTGGTAACAGTAATCTAACCTATCAGTGATATAATTCCAGTGTCTTTCTTCTGTACACTGTGAGTTGCTGAATAATTTATCAGAACATTAAATGGAGAATTGGCACATTTTGTTTCTACTGTTGCAAATTTTAGTGCTTATTAAATGTAGAAATATTTGCTAAATATTAGGAATATTACAATATACAAGTAACATGTATTTCCTGTCCTTAAGGAACTTCCTTGTGATGGTAGGATCAGATCAGGAGGCATTCATTGACAATTATAAGACAAAGGGAGGGGTGTTAAAATGCATTTTTGCATTTTGCCCATTTTGCATAACCCATTTTGCCCACTGACATAAGCAGTAGTAATAGTTGTATACAAATCATTTCTATCTACATCTCGGTATTATGGTTAATCTGATTGCAAAATATAATTTTGTGATGAACAGGTAGAGAAAAACAGGTGGCTGGTTTTCAAAATCCACTCAAATTAACATAGATGGAGAACAGAGACTATTCCCTTCATTGTGCTGGAAGTGCATGATCTTGCATGACTCAACTGGCATTAAAGAATAGTCAATACTGTTCAAGAAAAACATTTTTACAGATCCCTGGACACACCCTTTCATTCATGCTCCACTCTAGCAGCATGAATACTTCCCTCCAACAACACAGCCATGCAAATTCCTGCCAACCTGTGGGGTGGGATCTAGAAGGTGTATAAATAGTAAAGGGGAACAGATGAGAACATTTGTTTTTAAAATGACCTAGAATAATTTAAAATATGAAGTCTTCGGTCATAAAGTGAATTGAAAAACCATTTTCCCTTCTAAAGATAATATCTATTTTGTTTTTCATTTGATGTACATATGAGGTTAATTTTAAAAAATATTTTTAAAAAGTGACAAAATCAAATATTGACAAATCAAAATATTTATTTTGTCTATTTGGTATGTATAATATGAACAATTAAATGTCAACTTCAAATGCTATTTTAATATAATGAGAATCATAATACAAACAATGGTTGAGGGTAAAAAATAAATCTATATGTCACAGGATTTACCAAAGTTGTGATTAAAATTTTTGGAGAGAACTAGATTAAGCCCTGTGAGGTCGGGAACATTCTTAGCTACCAGTGTAGTATCTAACAAATTTAATTGTTGAATAAATTAAGAGAGGTCTTCTGCTTGTGAGCTAAATGTGCATTTGCCATTTGTCTCCTTTGAAAATACTTAGAATCTGGTTTTAGTGTTTCTGCCTGTGACATAGTTTTTGTAGCTTTTAAAAAGAAGTTGGAGAGTGTGTTATACAAACTTGGATTTGAAAATATTAGCAGTAAAGTGGCACATAATAATTTATTATATTTTAGGATACATTCAGCTGAGAATTTTATGACTAATAGACACTCAGTCTTACAGTCAATGAACACCTAATGAAAACTTTAAAATAAAAATGTAAAATCAATTTTGATATCTTGTGTGATAGTTAAAAATTACATTTGTATTTTAGTGAATAGCATATATGCATTGAAATTAAACAGCAATTTTAAAAGAATTGATTATGCTAGTATATTAGCTATATAGCCTTGGGATATATATTCTTGATCAGTGGCTCTAATTTTTTTCAGAGCTTGTAAATGGCTCGAAGTTGGTAATAAGCACCATAAATTGTATCAATTACTTAAAAGGATGCCTCCTTTTGTTTGTTTGCTTTTTTTTGCCTCCACCATGGCGAGTGGAAAATCAGCTAGTTATATTCAAGTTTTACCAACTGCAATTAAAATCCATAGGTCTCTCAATACAGTCAAGCATTGCCTGACATTTTCATTTTTTGATAAATTTTTATAAATTCTCATTATCACTTTGTGACTACTGGTGTCAAGAAGTTGTAAAAAATATCTCTTCCTAAATTTAAAAAAGACTAATTTAACTATTGAAGATAGGAAGGGTCCAGCTCCCTTAAATACTTTATTGTTATAATTATGACATATATAATATTTATATCTATATTTATAGATATAAACCAGCAATATGTTTCAAGTTATATATAAATAATAAGAGCCAACATTTTGCATTATGAAAATGGAGAAGTGAAATAAATGCAAAGTTCCACCTTACTCTTTCCTGCTCTTCCACTGATCAGTCATTCAAAAATATTATTAAGGTATACACAGGTAAGAAAATAGGCATTTTTATTAATGTCAATATACACTGATCAAAAAGTATTTATGTACTTCTTGATCAAAGATAAATGATTGAAAAACAGGCAGTTATTTGTTCCTCTATATCAGTTTTTTTTCTTTCAGACAGCATCTCACTCTGCCAGCCAGGCTGTAGTCCAGTGGAATAATCATGGCTCACTGCATCTCCCTGGGCTCTGGTGATCCTCCCACCTCAGCCTCCTGAGTAGCGATGATTACAGATGCATTCCACCATGCCTGGATAATTTTTTTTTAATTTTTTTGTAGAGACAGGGTTTCACCATGTTGTCCAGACTGGTCTCGAACTCCTGGGCTCAAACGATCAACCTGCCTCAGTCTCCCAAAGTGCTGGGATTACATGCATGAGCTACTGCACCCAGTCCCACTTTATCAAATTAACTAATATCTATCTCTATAGAATTAGTTCCTTTGGGTTTTCATACCATAAAATTTATTAAACATTAATTATGTGACAAGTTCTGTGCCAGACCCTAGGTATATAACTGTGACAAAAGCACTCAAGATTTTTGCCATTATGGAGAGGAACTGGGAAAGAGGAACAATAATCAATTTATTACAAATACTATTTGATATATAACAATGCTGTTATAAAGAACTGGTGTGTTGTGCTACCAGAGTATGTAACACAAGTTCTTGACCTGATTTATGGCTTATGAGAGTTCTCTCAGGAAATGAAAGTTGGCATGAATGAGAACTTTCTTCAAAGTTGAGAAGGCACTAGAGTATAGGGCACAGTTTTAGCAAAAGACTTGTGGTGGGAGAGAGGATGATTTATTCTGAGGAACTGAGAAAATGTCAGTGAAGCTGGAGCAGACAGCAAGGGTGGACTGTGTAAGACAAAGCAAGAAATGTAGGCAGCAATGAAATAGCATAAGGCGTT
Organism: Homo sapiens; assembly: GCF_000001405.40. Taxonomy (NCBI): domain Eukaryota; kingdom Metazoa; phylum Chordata; class Mammalia; order Primates; family Hominidae; genus Homo; species Homo sapiens. The sequence goes on along the minus strand of NC_000002.12, from coordinate 188,919,897 downwards.
GCATACTATAGGACGGTACAAGACTTTCTTCTAAATAGGCCAACATGCTATTGAAGGGTTTCTAAGTAAGGGAGAAAAGCATGATGAAATTTTAGCTTTCAAAACATTACTTTAATGGTGGTATGAGGATAGGATTGGAAGACAGTGTGAGTGGATACGAAGAAACCAGTCAGGCAATTCAGAAATCAAGCCTGGGGAAAATGAATGCCTATACTAGGGTTACGAGAGACAGGCTAAAAAAGAGTGAGTGCATTTAAGAGAGGTTTAGGAATTGAAGTCTAAAAAATTGGTTGAATATGGGAGTAAGGCTAAGCATTAGGTTTCTAATTTATCCAGTCGTATGTGGATGTTGAGATAAGAAATAAGAAACACCAGAAGACAACCAGGTAGTTAATTTTGTAGAAATTGATTTGCTTTGTTCATTCATTCATTGTGTTAATTTGTTTTGGCAGGGAGAAATCAGGAATTTGTTTTTGGCCCTGTTGAGTTTGAGGCGCATTGAGATATCTAAGTGAAACTGTTCAGTAAATAATTCTACATACATGTTTGGAACTGATACGGCTTAGCTGTGCCCCCACACAAAATCTCATCTTGAATGGTAATCCCCATTACCCATAATCCTCATGTGTCAAGGGCAGGACCAGGTGGAGGTAACTGGATCATGGTGGCGGTTTTCCCCATGCTGTTCTTGTGATAGTGAATGAGTATCATGAGATCTGATGGTTATATAAGCATGTGACATTTCACTGGCTTGCACTCACTCTGTCCTGCCACCCTGTGAAAAAGTGCCTTGCTTCCCCTTTGCCATGATTTAAGTTTCCTGAGGCATCCCCAGCAATGCAGAACTGTGAGTCAATTAAATCTTTTTTGTTTATAAATTACTCAGTCTCAGGTATTTATTCAAGCAGTATGAGAACGAACTAACACAGAAACCCAGTAAAATTATCTGGGGTTAAAATGTAAATTTGCAAGATGTTGGTGTCTAGTTGGAATTGAAACTGTAGACTTGGATGAGAGAACAGAATGAGAAGAAGGCTTACAGTCTAGCCATAAAAAACTCTAACATCTAACAGTTGGGTTGAGGAGGCTGAGAGCTGATCAAAAGGTTGGTATAAGCAAGAGGTGTTTGTTATAGAGGAAAAACTGGGGAAGGTTTGAAGAAGGAAGAGCTAATCAAAAATATTGAAAACCAGCTGAGAGGATAGATCGGCAGTGTGTTTTTTATTGGAGTATATTCCTATTCAAAATCAGGTCAATAACTCAGAGGGCTGAAAAAAAATAGTCCGACATGAAATTTGACAGTGTAGTTGTCATTGGTGGTAAAGAATTTATTTTTGGTTTTATTTTTGTTTTTAGGCTGATGGGAAATACTTAAGGATTTAAAATTCCGATGAAGGGGATCCAAGTGAATGGAAGATTCTGCTGAGAATATTGAGATATTGATATGTATTTTGTGTTCACTCTACTTTTCTGTTTCCTTTTCTGAGAAGAGAGCCAGGTCTTGGCAATTTCTTCAAAGGATGGTTGACTGTGCCTTTCAGAATCTTGTTTTTCATGAAGTCTGAGTTCCTTGAGAGGATAATTTCATAAGGGTAGGAAGTGATGGGAGGGGTCTACCTAATAGGGCAGAGTAAGGGAAAGTTCACAAAATGCATATGTGTTGCTTTTGGGTATCTAACCAAGAGTTCCTCATGTAGTCATAGTGGAATTTCTGTGAGTAGAAGCTGATGATCTTCAAGGTTCTATAGACTCTTGCCAGAAGATTATGAGAAGACAGTAAAGGAGCTTGATAATTATTGCCAGGGATGAGTGCATTGCATGCTAGTTGATTGGCTTTTTCTCACCAAAAGTGAAAGTTACCCATGTTCAGCTTGTAGGCCCAGACTAGTCAAAGAGTAGTTGTTTCTTAAATATCCGTGTAGGGCCTTCAATCTTATGTAAAATTCATCTGTAATTTTTCCTTATGTGTTTTTTCTACATTGAATTATAACATATTTTATGGTTTTGATTATGTTTCCATTTGTTGAGCATATTCTACTCTCTTTCTGTGTTACTTTCATCCAGTCAGCATTTTACAGATTATACTATGTTAGCATTTAAAGATTTAGCTGTCTATTTTTGAATAGTATTATTTCTCAGTGCTGTGTTGCTAATGGGCAATAAAAGGATGTTTAGCTTTTGAAAGAAAATAGCCAACCTCTAAATGGCTGACTCAATGTTGTTCTCTGTGCATGTGATCTCTTGATTTTGTAGATGATAAGTTTATAGTAAAGCTCATTTAAACACTAGATCTTCAATCAGATTTTAGATCATCCAGTATTCAGAAGGTGATCATAATATGATCAATTGCTATTCTTATACATTACCAGTACAAATGTAGATTAAGGAGGATTCAATGCACCAAATCTCAATTTCTATAGATAAAACATGAACTTTCTATATTTTTATTCCCTATTACAAGCTTCATAATTAGATTTCTCTAAAATCTTCAGTAATTTTGGAATTATGTGTGTGTTCAATAACCATCTATTCACCGCACTGTAATCTCCATGTAGGCCAGGATGTCATAGTGAACAGAATGTTTGCAGTGACTTAGTGTCTGAAAAATAGCAAGCCCTCAGTCAATATTTATTTGAATGAATGTGTGAATGGATGGATAAGTTACATTTTCTATTAAAACCATTTGTTTCAGTACTCCAAGTTATTAAGATGTTTCCCAAACAACTTATCTTTTAATTAAATTCTTATCCTTTTATTTATTCATATATTTATTTAAAATCTTGTCTGTGCCAGACATAGTACTGGTAGCTGCTTTCACAATTTCCAGTGTAAGATGCATGCTGATCATACTTAGAAACCTACTGCATAGACTGCCCAAGGAAATTTCCAGACACAGAGATGTTTGGCTATGCAAACAGTGGCCTTCTGCCTTTCCATGTGTCCTAGAAAGAAATTCAGAGAAGGAAACAGCAGTAACTATTCAATTGCAAATATGTTTTAGTGATTATATGTAAGGAGAACTACACTGGCCACTGGCTGCATTTACTGTAGTTATAAATAAGGAGTCCTGGGAAAGGTTTGACAAGAACACATGTTTGGATCAAACAGTTCTGTTATGAAAAAGACAGATTGCTGTAAAGGTACTTCAGCCAGGAGATTCACTCACTGGCAGCTGCTATTATTAAAGCAGTAACAGAAAAAAAAAGACCTTTAGTATGATATTGATATCACCTTTGCTATTTATGCATACACAATTGGACATTTCCACAGTAACTCGGGAGGAAATTCATCCTAATCCACTTGAAAGCATAGCTATGTGTTGTCCTGGCATCCTTACTTATTAGTTCACAGAACAGGTAAATTAACATTTACTGAGAGTTGGGGCCATGCCAGGGTTTTATATATCTTCTCACATTTTATTCTTTAACAAATTCATATTCAGAAACTTATAGCAGTTCTGCATAAAGATGAAAACATTTAGACTCAGAGATTTTAATTTGCCCATGTCACACAGCTACTAAAACATGAAGTTAGAATTTGATTCCAATTCACTGAAAGTCAAAATTTCATGACTATCCCTTTATGCCACATTGACCAAATAGATACAGAACAATACCTATTCCAGGCCTTAAAGAAAATCCAGGTGTATAACAAAGTGAATAAATCAGCATATAATCCCCAGTGTCCATGCAGATTAATTTCAGGAATGAAAGGGTGATTCATTATTAGGAAATTCACTGTGTTAATTAATTTCATTAACAAATTAAAGAAGAAAAAGTAAGCAATTACATCCTGAAATGCTCCCTCCAAAAAGCATTTGATAAACATCAACAGCATTTATTCTTTTTTTTTTTTTTTTTGTGAGACGGAGTCTCGCTCTGTGGCCCAGGCGGGAGTGCAGTGGCGCAATCTTGGCTCACTGCAAGCTCCGCCTCCCGGGTTCACGCCATTCTCCTGCCTCAGCCTCCCGAGTAGCTGGGACTACAGGCGCCCGCCATCACGCCCGGCTAATTTTTTTTTGTATTTTTAGTAGAGACGGGGTTTCACCGTGTTAGCCAGGATGGTCTCGATCTCCTGACCTCGTGATCCACCCGCCTCGGCCTCCCAAAGTGCTGGGATTACAAGCGTGAGCCACCGCGCCCGGCCCAGCATTTATTCTTGATAAAAGCCAAGAAATAATAAAAGGGAACTTCTTAAATGTAATTAAAAATTAGTAACAGTTAATTGTTCACATATACATAAATGACTGTATTCCACAAGTGTTAGTTTGGAAAGAAGTTAGGATAATTTCTGTTACCACTATTGTTCAAATAATTTTTGGAATTTCTACCAAATACAATATGTTAAGCACAATTAATCACACTAAATATCACAAAAGGAGGGTCAATATCATAATTATTCTCAGATGATATTAATGTACTCCTAGAAAATTTTATTAAAATTTGTTAAATCTAATAAAATAAATGCTATTAAGTGACTAGGTACAAGACAAAGCTCAATAGTTTTTCTTTATGCTAAAAATCATTATTTTTAAACAAAATTTAAAAGATCTCATCTACAGGAGCAAAATCAAAAATACCAATACATACAATTAAGAAAGATATTCTTTGTAGAATGTTACTCTAAATACAATAAAAATTTAAATAATGGAATGATTAACTCATTATAGTAAATTTTACTGATGTAATACACAGCTAGCAAAAATGATAGAAAGTGTGTACTTAGTTGAAAAAGATGTTCATGACATACATGACATAATAATAAGACTAATATGTACATAATTTATGTTTGTGAGGAATATAGGTTTATATATGAATGTGAAGAATACACATGATTTATATGAAAATCATGGCATTATATCTCTATGTGTATATACATGCATGTGTGAATTCAGTGGTAGAATTCGTTAGTGAAGTCATCAAGTCCTGGCTTTCTTTGGTGGGAAACTTTTTATTACTGATTCAATATCCTTACTCATTATTCATTTTTTCAGATCTTCTATTTCTTCATAATTCAATATTGATAAATGGTATGTGTCAAGGAATTTATCCATTTCTTCTAAGTTATGCAATTTGTAGGCATATAATTGTTCATGATAGTCTTTTATGATTCTTTGGATTTCTGTGGTATCCGTTCTAATGTCTTTATTTTTATTTCTGTTTTTATATATTTGCGTTTTCTCTTTTTTTTCTTATTTAGTTTAGCTAAAGGTTTGTCAATTTTATCTTTTAAAAATACCATCTCGGTTTAATTGATCTTATCTATGTTTTTTCTGGTCTCTATTTCATTTATTTCTACTCTAGTATTTATCATTTCCTTCCTTCCACTAACTTTGAGCTTAGTTTGTTCTTGTTTTTCTAGTTCCTTGAGGTGCAACATTACATTGTTTATTTGAGATCATTCTATTTTGATGTAGACTTTTTATTTCTATCAACTTTCCTCTTAGAACTGCCTTTGCTATTTCTCATGGGTTTTAGTGTGTTGTGTTTTCATTTTAGTTTGTCTCAAGACAATTTTTAATTTACCTTTTAATTTATTCATTGACCTCTTAGTTCTTCAGGACCACATTTAATTTCCATGTAGGTGTGAATTTTCCAAAATTCTTTCTCTTATTGATTTCTAGCTCTTTTTTTCATTGTGGTCATTAAAGATATTTGACATGATTTCAATCTTCTTAAATTTGTTAGGACTGGTTTTGTGGCATAATATATAATCTGTCCTGGAGAATGTTCTATATCCACTTAAGAAGAATGTATATTCTGCAGCTGTTGGGTAGAATGTTCTGTATATGTCTGTTTGGTCCATTTAATCTAAACTCTATTTTAAGTCTGACATTACCTGAATTATTTTTTTGTCTGGAGGATCTACTCCCGAAAGCAGGGTCTTGAAGTCCCCACAATCATCATGTTGCAGTCTATTTTTTCTTTCAAATTTATTAATATTTGCTTGATATATTTACTTGCTCTGTCAGATGCCTATATATATGTATATATATGTACAACTGTTATATCCTCTTGCAGAATTGACCTCTTTATCATTATATAATGACCTTCCTTCTCTATTTTTATAATTTTTGACTTAAAGTCTACTTTATCTGATATAATTACAGCTACTCCTGCCCTCTTTTGGTTTCCATTTGCATGAAAGATCTTTTTCCATCCCTTCACTGTCAGTTTATGTGTGTCCTTACAGGTGAAGTTAGTTTGTTGTAGGTAGTATATAGCTAGGTCCTGTTTTTTTTTTAATCTATTCAGCCACTCTATGTCTTCTGATTGAAGAATTTAATCCATATACATTCAATATAATTATTGATAGGTAAAGATTCATTTTGTTAATTTTTTTAGTTTTTTTTTTGATACTTCCTTTCTTTCTCTCTTGCTGTCTTCCTTTGCATCTAAACGTTTTTCTCTAGTGCTATGTTTTCATTCCTAGTTTTTATTTTTTGTGCATCTAATATAGGCTTTTGCTTTGTGGTAACCATGAGGCTTACAGAGCATATTATAGTTATAGCAGGTTATTTTAAGTTGATGACAACTTAACTTTGACTGTGGGGGGTGGAGAGGAACCTCCACATCCCTCTCCATGTGAAGATGTTGAGAAAGTGTTTGAGGTTTGAAGAGCTTGGTCATGTGAAGTAGTCATTTAGGGAAGAGGGAGGTGAATGTACTATGCAAATGTATTACGTTTGCTGTTGAAACAAATAATTGGGGAAAAATAGTAAAATGCGGCTAGCATTAGTTTAAAATTCTCTCTATAAGAGTAAGTCTTTCTTGTACTTTTGCCCTTTCCCTTTTTATTTCTAACAACCTGTTTTGGCACTTACTTCTCCAAGTTAATCACCATCGTGTGCCCCCAACTCGATATTTCTCATCTTCTGCCATAAGCCATCTGCTTTTTCCTTGAGATTGTATCTTTTTATCTCTTCTTACCACTATCCAATTCACTCCAGGTTTTGCTCAGTAACCACTATGCTGCCGTTCACTGCAGGCGACAAATCAACTCACACTAGTTAAGAGAGTAAAGGCATGGAATTTATTGGCTCATGTGATAGGCCAGATGTAAAGAAGTTTTCAGAATGAGTTGACCTAGAGTCTTAATGACATAGCCATGCATTTAGTTTCCTTTAATCTCTCCCTGCTGCTGTCTACTCTTCTAGCTTTATCTAAGTCGATGTTTCTCAACTGGGGAAGATTTTGCCCCCGAGGGGACACATTTGACAATATTGGAAATGATTTTTATTGCCATGACTGGAAGGGTGCTACTAGCATCTAGTTTTATAGGCCAGAGATGTTGTTAAACATCCTATAATATCCCTACAGTAAAGAATTATCTGGCCCAGGTAACCCTGATATGTCATTAAATAATCGTTGTAGTAGCAATAAGGGCTATACATTTTATTCACATCCAGTAGGAAAGGGACAGAGGGCTGTCATTCTTCTGTAGTTTGTTTGTGAGAGTGAGGAAACTTCTTAGAAGCCCTCTAAATATTTTCTCATGTCTCATAAGACCAAGTTGGCCAAAGGACTCATCCCAATCACTGCCAAAGGGAATTGGATTATTTTAAGTATCTTCAATAATAATAAATCAGAATCCAGCCTTGGTCACAAAATTGTACTGATGCTATTTGTTGGGGTGATAAACTGGATGTTGAGGAGTCAACAATAATCACTATATCAACTACATTTTTAACTAATCGATGCTAGTAAATGTATGAATAAATAAATATAGTTTTAAGGAGTTAACAGGTGATTTCTGTTTATGTGACATGCTCGATATTCAACTGTCTTATTTTGTTTTTACATCTAAGAGGTGCAAAGTAGGCAAGAAAGCCAAGAGAGATAGACAGATTATGCTTCCCTTTATACACATTGTCAGCATTAGCACTCTCTTAGGTTTGGGTCGGTGGATACCTCACTTTAGAATAGAGAAGGTTAAAATGAGAAATAAAAATACTACTGGAGAACAAGTTCCAGATGTCCACTAAGAGCATTCCTCAGGTACATAGTAACTTTTTGCTACCAGTGGAGCTGCAGAAAGCATTCAATTAGCAGTTACCTGACAGCCAAAACACTCAGCACAGCACCAACTCATGAAAAATGTGAAGGGTCAGGCCATTGTTTTTCCTTTTTTTTTCCCCCAAATCTTGGGTACCAGATGACTTAATTATTTACATAATTAAAAGCAATATCTTTTAATGCTAGGATTTCAGAACTGTAGTATACTAATGAGAAAGACTGTTTATGGCAGATAGAATTTGTGTGCGTTTGTGTACATACCTGCACCTCTCAAGTCAACCTAGGCATCCAGAGACTAGTCACACTTTTGCAATGAACCAGCTGTGTGGGCAAGTCAATGAACCCTTGGAACATTTCCCTCTTTTGTAAATGAGAGGTTTGGGCTAGAAGATTTCTGATGTCTGTGCTTCAACATTCTTACAGCCTATGACCAAAGCATTTACCTGCCCATATATTGCTGAAGACTTTTGAAAAAAAGATTATTTCATAATTTATACTGCCGCATAGAATTAAATTTAACTATGTTTGAAGAAGGCATTTGGATGCTTTATGCCTTATAATTCCCTTGCAGGGCTACCAATAAATGTCTATCCAAATCAATAAACATTTATTGGATGCCACTTGTGTGCAAAGGATGCTGCTAGGCACTAGGAAACACATAATCATGTAACATACAAAGGCATAACTACAATTCTTTCATGTCCTATTTTGTATACTTATCTGTCCTTTCACAGTAGCTCTAGGGGAGTATGTGGATGTAGCATATGCTATCTTAGTCTATTGGGACTGTTATAACAAAAGACCATAAACTTGGTAGCTTATAAACAACAGAAATTTATTTCTCACAGTTCTAGAGGCTGGGAAGTTCAATATCAAGTTGCTGGCAGATTTGGTATCTGGTGAGAAACCACGTTCTGGTTCACAGATGGTGCCTTCTTGCTGTGTCCTAACATATTGAAGAAGAGAGGGGTCTCTCATAAACATCTTTTATAAGGGCTCTGTGATGGTTAATAATGAGTGTCAACTTGATTGGATTGAAGGATACAAAACATTAATCCTGTGTGCATCTGTCAGGGTGTTGCCAAAGGAGATTAATATTTGAGTTAGTGGGCTGTGAAATGTAGACCCACCCTTAATCTGGGTGGGCACAATCTAATCAGTTGCCAGCCCAGCTAGAATATAAGCAGGCAGAAAAATGTGAAAAGACAGACTGGCCTAGCCTCCCAGCCTGCATCTTTCCCCCCTGCTGTATGCTTCCTGCCATAGAACATCGAGCTCCAAGTTCTTCAGTTTTGGAACTCAGACTGGCTCTCCTTGCTCCTCCTTCTGCAGACAGTCTATTGTGGGACCTTGGGATCACGTGAGTTAATACTTAATAAACTCCCTTTTATATATATATTAAGAATGGAGTTCTTTCATTGGTTTTGGGGGTTTCTGGAGTTGGCTGCTAAAATCTGATCAGACCCAAAATGCTAAGGATTCTGCTTCTAATAGTATGGAGAACACTGATAGTCCTTGGAATGAACTATTTAGAGATTTATGCAAAATAAATGCATTTAAAAATCCTGATTGATCAGTCGTGAGAGGCAAGGAGTTTAGTAACTGTATACATAATACCTTTGGCCATATGTGGAGAACCAAGAAACATAATGAAGAAAGATGGCTGTTCCTAAGTTCAGTGGACAAAGTGATGAAAGAAAATGATGAACTCAGGGTTCAGAAGCACATACTGAGCCTTAAGTCTGTTAAGATTGCCCTGAGTGAGAGTCTTATCTCCAGTAGAGAAAGAGCTGAAATTGTGGAGAAACAGATATGAGCTCTTATCTTGCGAGTGGCTTACCTGCAACTAAAAATGCATGCACAGCCTTGCCAGATGTCGACTGTTAAAGTGAGGGTATTGATTGGAAAAGAAGGGAACCCTGAAACTTGGAATGGGGATGTGTGGGGGGACCCTGATGAATCTGGGGACATTGAGTTTGTAAACTCTGATGAACCTTTTTGCCAGACAAGACAGCTTCACCATCCCCAGCAGTGGCAACATCCTCTCCCCAACTGATGTTGCCATCAGCCTTTCCACCTTTGTCTGAGGAGATAAACCCTGTGCTGCCTGAGGCAACAGTGATGGCCTCCCCTGAGGGAGTTGCCAGGCAAGATTTTGTTGATTCTCTTCAGAAGCCACCCCCAACATCCCTGTTTGCTTCTAGACCTATAACTAGATTAAAAGTCCCAGCAGGCCCCTAGAGGTGAGGTTGAGAATGTGATCCATGAGGTGGTGGGCTACACTGTGAAAGAACTGCTTGAGTTTTCTAATTTGTATGAAGAGAAATCTGGAGAACAGGCATTGGAATGGATATTATGGGTATGGGATAATGGTGGAAGGAACATCCAGTTGGATCAGGTTGAATTTATTGATTTGGGTCCACTAAGTAAGGACTCTGCATTTAATGTTTTAGCTCAAGGAATTAAAAAAGGTTCTAATAGTTTATTTTCTTGGTTAGCTGAAATATGGATTAAAAGATGGCGCACTGTGAGTAAGCTGGAAATGCCTGATATCCCTTGGTTTAATGTAGAGGAAGAGATCAAAAGGCTTAGGGAGATTGGTATGTTGTAGTGGATTAGTCACTTTAGACCTACTCATCACAGCTGGAAGGGTCCAGAAGATATACTCTTGACCAATGCCTTGCGAAATAGATTTGTGAGGACAGCACCTGCATCTTTGAAGAGCCCTGTGATTGCTCTTCTCTGTAGGTCAGATCTAATGGAGGGAACTGCAGTCACTCAATTACAAAATTTAAATACGGTGGGAATAACTAGATTCCAAGGAGGCAGAGGCCAAGTGGCAGCACTCAACAGTCAAAGGCAAGGTGGGTGTAATTACAGTAATGAACAGCAGAGACAAAGCGGCAATCAGAACAGTCTGACTATGTAGAGCTCTGGCATTGGCTAATTGACCATGGTGTTCCTAGAAGTGAAATTGATAGGAAGGCTGCTGCATTCCTACTTAATTTATAAAAGCAGAACACTTCTAGGTTGAATGGACAAAAGACTAATTTGAATTATAAAAACAGAGAATCATGGCCCTTCAATCAATTTCCAGACTTGAGCCAGCTTACAGACCAAGAACCCCTTGAATGAAGGGGAGGCCGGGTACCCTTGAGAAAGGACCCCACTACATTACCAGCAATGTATACTGTTAATCTTTCTCCCATCCTTCCCCATGGAGACGTCCTGCCTTTTACCAGGGTAACTGTGCAGTGGGGAAAGGGAAATGATCAGACATTTCAGAGACTACTGGATACTGGCTCTGAGCTGACTTAGATTCCAGGGGACCCAAAACGTCATTGTGGTCCTCCAGTTAAAGTAGGGGGTTATGGAGGTCAGGTAATTAATGGAGTTTTAGCTCAGGTCTCACTTACAGTGGGCCCATTGGGTCCCCGGACTCATCCTGTGGTCATTTCCCCAGTGCCAGAATGCATAATTGGCATAGACATACTTAGCAGCTGGCAGAATCCCCACATTGGCTCCATGACTGGTAGGGTGAGGGCTATTGTGGTGGGAAAGGCCAAATGGAAGCCATTAGAGCTGCCTCTACCTAAAAAAATGAGTAAATCCAAAACAATATTGCATTCCTGAAGGGATTGTGGGGATTAGTGCCACCATCAAGGACTCGAAAGACACATAGGTGGTGATTCCCACCACATCTCAGTTTAACTCTCCCATTTGGCCTGTGCGGAAGACAGATGTATCTTGGAGACTGACAGTGGATTATCGTAAGCTTAACCAAGTGATGCTGTATCAGATGTGGTTTCATTGCTTGAGCAAATTAACACATTTCCTTGTACCTGGTAGGCAGCCATTGACTTGGCAAATGCATTTTTCTCCATTTCTGTCCATAAGGCCCACCAGAAGCAATTTGCCTTCAGCTGGCAAGGCCGGCAATATACCTTTACTGTCCAACCTCAGGGGTATATCAACTTTCCAGCTTTGTGTCATAATCTTATTTGGAGATAATTTGATTGCTTTTCGCTTCTGCAAGATATCACACTGGTCCATTATATTGATGACATTATGCTGATTGGATCCAGTGAGCAAGAAGTAGCAAACATACTGGACTTATTGGTGACACTTTTGCATACCAGAGGATGGGAAATAAATTTGACTAAAATTCAGGGACCTTCTATCTCAGTAAAATTTATGGAGGTCCAATGGTGTGGGGCCCATTGAGATATATCCTGTAAGGTAAAGGGTATGTTGCTGCATTTGGCCCCTCCTAAAACTAAGAAAGAGACACAACACTTTGTAGGCCTATTTGGATTTTGGAGGCAACACATTCCTCATTTCAGTGTGTTACTCTGGCCAATTTATCAGGTGACCTGAAAGGTTGCTAGCTTTGAGTGGTGTCCAGAAGAGGAAAAGGCTCTGCAACAGGTCCAGGCTGCTGTGCAATCTGCTCTGCCACTTGGGCGTTATAACTTAGCAGATCCAATGGTGCTTGAGGTGTCAGCGGCAGACGGAGATGCTGTTTGCAGCCCCTGGCAGGCCCCCATAAGTAAATCACAGCAGAGGCTGCCAGGATTTTGGAGCAAGGCCCTGCCATCTTCTGCAGATAACTAGCTTCCTTTTGAGAGACATCTCTTGGCCTGTTACTGGGCTTTGGTGGAAACTGAATGTTTGATTGGGTCATCAAGTCACCATGTGACCTGAACTGCCTATCACGAACTGGATGCTTTCCTACCCATCTAGCCATAAAGTGGGTCATGCACAGAGGCAGTCCATCATCAAATGGAAGTGGTGCGTATGTGACTGGGCTCGAGCAGGTCCTGAAGGAACAAGTAAGTTACATGAGGAGGTGGCTCAAATGCCCATGGTCTCCACTCCTGTCACCCTGCCTTCTCTCCCACTGCCTGCACTGGTGGCCTCATGGCAAGTTCCCTATGATCAGTTGACAGCGGAAGAGAAGGCTAGAGTATGGTTCACAGAGGGTTCTCTATGATATGCAGGCTTAACCCAAAAGTGGACAGCTGCAGCATTACAGCCCCTTTCTAGGACATCTCTGAAGGACAGCGGTGAAGGAAAATCTTCCCAGTGGGCAGAACTTCAAGGAGTGAACCTGGTTGTGCACTTTGCATAGAAGGAGAAGTGGCCAGATATGTTATTATATACTGATTAATGGGCTGTAGCCAATGGTTTGGGTGTATAGTCAGGGACATGGAAGAAGCATGGACAAAGAAATTTGGGGAAGAGGTATGTGGATGGACCTCTCTGAGTGGTTAAAAACTGTAAAGATATTTGTATCCCATGTGAGTGCTCACCAAAGGGTGACCTCAGAAGAGGAAGATTTTAATAATCAAGTGGATAGGATGACCCTTTCTGTGGACACCACTCAGCCTCTTTCCCCAGCCACCACCATCATTGCCCAATGGGCCCATGAACAAAGTGTCCATGGTAGCAGGGATGGAGGTTATGCATGGGCTCAGCAACATGGACTTCCACTCACCAAGGCTGACCAGGCTACAGCCACTGCTGAGTGCCCAATTTGCCAGCAGCAAAGACCAAGACTGAGCCCTCAATATGGCACCATTCCTCGGGGTGATCAGCCAGCTACCTGGTGGCAGGTTTATTATATTGGACCTCTTCCATCATGGAAAGGGCAGAGGTTTGTCCTCACTGGAATACACACTTACTCTGGATATGGGTTTGCCTATCCTGCACACAATGCATCTGCCAAGACTGCCGTCCATGAACCATGGAATTCCTTATCCACCGTCATGGTATTCCACACAGCATTGCCTCCGACCAAGACATTCACTCTGTGGCTAAAGAAGGAGGGCAGTGGGCTCAAACTCATGGAATTCACTGGTCTTACCATGTTCCCCATCATCCTGAAGCAACTGGAATGATAGAATGGTGGAATGCCATTTTGAAATCAAAATTACACCACCAACTAGGTGACAGTACTTTGCAGGGCTGGAGCAAAGTTCTCCAGAAGGCTGTGTTTGTTCTGAATCAGCATCTAATATATGGTACTGTTTCTCCCATAGCCAGGATTCATAGGTCCAGGAAGCAAGGGGTGGAAGTGGAAGTGGCACCACTCACCATCACCCCTAGTGATCCACCAGCAAAATTTTTGCTTCCTGTTCCCATGACATTACATTCTGCTGACCTAGAGGTCTTAGTTCCATAGGGAGGAATGCTGCCACCAGGAGATACAACAAGGATTCTATCAAACTGAAAGTTGAGATTGCCACCTGGATACTTTGGCCTTCTCCTACCTTTAAGTCAACAGGCTAAGAAGAGAGTTACAGTGTTGGCTGGGGTGATTGACCCAGACTATTAAGATGAAATCAGTCTACTACTCCACAACAAAGGTAAGGAAGAGAATGCATGGAATACAGCAGATCCATTAGGATGTCTCTTAGTATTACCATGTCCTGTGATTAAGATCAATGGGAAACTACAACAGCCCAATCCAGGGAGGACTACAAATGACCTCCCTTCTGGAATGACTTCTGGACTGACTACAGATGACTTCTGGAATGAAGTTTTGGGTCACTCCACCAGGAAAAAACCCCACTACCTGCTGAGGTGCTTGCTGAAGGCAAAGGGAATACAGAATGGGGAGTAGAATAAGGTAGTCATAAATAACAGCTACGACCACGTGACCAGCCACAGAAATGAGGACTGTAATTGGGTCCTGAGTATTTCTTTCTTCTTTTGTTAAAAACATGTTTGTGCATGTATACACTTGTACTAAGAAAATATCTTCATTTTATTTCCTCTCTTCTTTATCATGTGACATAAGATTTATTGACTTCACATCAGCATTTAAGTATTGTTAACTTTTTGTAATAGTATTGGGGTTGGGGATTGGTGCATTTCTGGTTGTACAAAGGAAAGTTGTATCATGTTAGATGTGATTATGACCTTATCATTGTCTTTTTTTGAAGATTATGTATGATCTCAGGAGACGTATATAGGATCAAGTTGACAAGGGGTGGACTTGTGATGGTTAATACTGTGTGTCCACTTGAAGGATACAAAGTATTGATCCTTGGTGTGTCTGTGAGGGTGCTGCCAAAGGAGATTAATATTTGAGTTAGTGGGATGGCACAGACAAACTCACCCTTAATCTGGGTGGGCACAATCTAATCATCTGCTAGCGCAGCTAGAATATAAGCAGGCAGCAAAATGTGAAAAGAAGCCTGTCCTAGCCTTTCAGCCTACATCTTTCTCCCATGTTGGGTGCTTCCTGCCCTCGAACGTCAGACTCCAAGTTCTTCAGTTTTGGAACTTGGATTGGTTCTCCTTGCTCCTCGGCCTGTAGATGGCCTACTGTGGGACCTTGTGATCGTGTGAGTTAATACTTAACAAACTCATCTATATATTGACATGTATATACACACACATATATAATTATGTATATATACATAATCATATATATATACATATATATATATATTCCATTAGTTCTGTCCCTCTGGAGAAGCCTGACTAATACAGGCTCTTATCTCATTGATGAGGGGTCCACCCTCATGAACCAGTCACCTCCCAGCAGCCCCACCTCCTAATGCCATTACCTTGGGGATTAGGATTTCAACATATAAATTTTGGGGGTATACAAAGACTCACTTCATAGCATATGCATAATTTTAACATAAGAAGACATTTTTTTCTTGCAAGCAAAGATGTATTTTAACTTATTTTGATGAAATCGTGCAGCATATAACTACGTTACTATTAAAACGTTCAATGACATCATTGGTACTCTATTGAATTTTCCATTTGATAGTTTTTAGGCCTTATTTGTATTTAGCACTATTTCATTATATCATGATGCATTAAATTGTGTTGGTTAAGACCATGAATTTTAAAACTAGACTACAGATTTGAATCCTCACTATGTCATTTAGTAGCAGTGATCTTGGGTAGAATATGTAAAATCTCTGCATCTCATTTCATTATCCATAAAATATGGGAAGAAGTAACACCCAGACCATAGGGATGTTATGAGGATTAAATAGATTATTCCATTTGAAGTGTTGATAATAGTGCCTGGAACATGGTAAGAGTTCAAAAAACATTAAATATTGCTATTATTATTTCCATTTTTCCTGGTAATTTTATAATAAAAATCAATGGAAAGATAGGATTCAGAAACCTATATTAACTCTAAAGTATTTTATTAGACATATTAATTTTATTGAGAAATATTTGCAATTATATGTGCATGTGCATATATATGTATATATATATCTGAGATTGAGTAACCGTATAATTTATAACTAAAGATGGATTGTGTTGTACTTAATAATTTTACTTAATGGTGGGTCATTGTGTGCAAATGTGAGCAAGTGTCTCTCTCTACCAAGTCCAAAACTTTTAATTACCTTAAATTTTTATAAAAACTTGGGTCTCTGAAAGGAGAAAACTTTTCCAGAGAAAAACACTTTTTGGAACAATTATTTACTTCATATTACAGCAAGAAGGAGAGCATATAAACTATAATTTAATGATGCTCTTGCAGCTGGGCAGTCTGACTTGGAGGGAAATGAGGGATTAGTTGATGAGCTGGAAAGAATCAGTAGGTATATGTATTTGAGTACAGTGTGTGGACGGGGTGAGGACAGAGCAGAGAAGCAGGTGTGAGAAGGTGGAAACAGGGCACACTGTGAAAACAACAAGAAATGTGTTTTGGGATAAGTGGTAGGATAAGGGGAAGTAAAGGGTTGTTTACAAGTCTGTGCTTGTAGTTGAGCCTCTCAGACAAGGCAGCACCAGGAAGTGCTGATGTGTGCATTTGAGAACATTGTTTGGAAATGATTCATTTTGTTTAGACCCAGACACAGGATCAGAGCTGGAAGGGGCCTAAAAATTCTGTCTCCAAAATCATCCAAAACAGATGATGATCGTCTATGCTAATTATAAAGCCTCCTAAAGGAGGTTTTTCACCATCTAATAAAACGAGACCTTAAGTGACAGCCATCATCAATATAAGTACGTTTCAGTAGTTACTAAGGCAAGTACAAAGACAATGATATTTAATGAATTAACATTTGCATCAAACTGGATAATCCTATTACATTCTACTTTCTCTTATTCTAATTTTATTTGATTCATCAATTTAAAATGAAAAATATTTTTATTTATTCATTTTAAATTAGAAAATGCACGTATTTATGCCTTCCTCATTTGTCCTACTGGCTTTGATGTTTTAACTTTTGTTCTCAAAAACTCAGCTTTAGTATCAGACTCCTGGGCCAATTGCATCTGTCATTCTCTAGTCATGATGATTATTAAGGGAGGAAAAGCATAATGAAATGAAGATGTTCCTTTCTGTATCATCTTGAATTATTTTCTTACAGGACTTTGCAGGAGAGGTGGAATGGAAAGAATAAAGAACAAATCAAAGGGTAAAATCAAGAAAATCAGCAAAGGCAGAAAAGTCAGAATAAGGACATGTATTGAAATAAGACTGAGAGAAGTCTCGGCCATGAAATTTTATAGATTATTTTCCATAAAATTTATGTCATGTTTAAATAATTGGTTTGGAATCAGGATCATCCTTTTCTTTGGTGGTTTATAGGCATCTTTGTCATGAAACTTTAGTCCAGATATCATTTCTATGTCTGAGATCTGCTAATCTGTTTGTCCACTGCCGTTGAATGGCAGTAAAGATATAAAACAGAGTGAGTCCTTGGGAATTCTGTAAACAAGAGAGGATTCCTCCAGCAAACCAGAGATGGGACAAACTTGTAGAACTCCGAAAGTGGGAAGGGATATACTGATAGATAAAGTAGATGTGTGAAAAAAAAGTTATAGTTTGGAAATGGTATAGGAGTAAGAAGCTACACATTAGGAAGAAGCTCTTCCTGGCTGAGCCTCAGAGAAATTATAAATTTGGAGCTGGAAGGCCAAAAAAGAGTAGACTTGAGTAGAGTCACAGAAATATATGTGGTCTAAGGTGGCTCCTCGTTCTCCCACATATGTTTGAGCAGAATTCTACAATAGTAGTTCACAGATGGAAACCCAATGATTACCTTCTATAATGAGTGACTAATAGACATGGAGAGGAGTTAATCATAAAGTGTATAGTGAGTTGAATGAAGTAAAGAAGAACCTAAAAGGAAACCATATTTCCACAATGTTCTGGGAAGAACTGGTACCTAACAGAACAATATTTTGGAGAATTATTCTACTGCCAAGTAACATATTTTATTTTGACATTTTTGAAGTTATTGAGCTATCTTCCCTACTCCAAGTTTATACACTATAAAGGAAAGCTTGATTTTCAACAGAATCCATCAACTTTCATGGAACTCTCAATGAGCTCTTCCTATTCAGGTACACAGACTTACACTACTAAAAAAAGTATGATAGCAATTTATGCTGAGTAATATAAAATTATGTTAATAAATATGAATGTATAACCAAGAATAACTAGGCATTTGAAGAATACTAATAGTCTGTAAGAGAAAGACCAAGGTGGACAAACAGATTAGCAGATCTTAGACATAGAAATGATATAAAAAAAAGTAGAGAATTTTAAAATTTGAATGTGTCCTTCGAGATATTTGAGAACATATATCATCCATAAGTCAAGAACAAGTTATTGGAGAATAGGAGTAATTATAGACCAAGAAGAGTTCTTTAAAATAAAAAATACACAGCAAATAATTTAAAAATAATCCAGAGCTATTAAAAAAAGAATTAGCACATTGGAAATAAAATTGAGCAAAATGACCAGACCACACAGCAAAGGGAAAAAAGATGAAACAAGTTATTAGATAGGGAAAACCCAGAGAACTCACATCCTAGCACATACTGGAAATGCCCAGAAGAGAGAAAATAGAACTGGGGATGAGGATATTCAAATAAACAATTGGTCAAGGAGTCCACAGAAAGAACAGATGTTTGAGCAAGAAGATGAGAGAGTGTCTTTCAGATAACAGGAGGGAAAGAAAGGACTGTTTCTTCAGAGCCCAGAGGTGAGAATGTCTCCAGCTTTTCAAGTCACTGTGACTGCAGCTGAATGGCCAAGGGTGAGGGGAGTTGGATATGAGGTAAGAGAAGTCATAGGAGCCAGATTTTTTTGGTCCTTGTTGTGTTGACCCCTGTTAGGTGAATGGGGATGATTGGACAGTTCTGAGCAGAAAGAATTACATGATTTGACCTAGTTTTTAAAAGGATGACACTGACTGCTATTCTTAGTTAAAGTATGTTTTGAACAATTTTTTTTTCATGAAGACTATGTGGGTTTTAATCTGAGTCCTTGAGTATTTGATACTGTCTTTCTATTGTTTTTATTGTGTGAGTAGAATTGGGTTGGCTCTTAAACCTTTTCCCTGAAAATGCAGTAGATATTACAGTATCTTTTAGCATTTAATGTGGTAGAAGAGTAATAAGAAATGATTCTTATTTTTCTTTTTGTGTAGGTAACATTTATTTTGTTTTTTAATGGAAGTCTTTGATATTGTTTATCTTTGAACCTCAAATATTTCACCAGTGGTATCTAAGCAGTGACCATTCACCATTAATTTTATTCCATATATATGAGTCCACCCTTTTTATAGTACTACAATATTTATTTAGCTCTTATCATGTGTAACTATTTTATTTAATCCTTGCAACAGCTCTGTGAGGAGTTTACTATTATTATCTCCATTTCATATATTCATTCATGCCTTTGTTACAGCTGACAACACGGTCCTTTGTGTTCTCGGCATCTCTACCTGCTGTTTGAGTCTCTTTGAGGCTGGGTTGGGATGAGTCTTGCTCGCGTTTCAATCTTGTTGGATTGACGAGAGGTGTTAGCGCGAGTAAGGGCAGGCATAACTGTGGGAACAGTGTGGTCGTTGTGGGGAAAGAGGAGCCAGAGGGAGATCGGTAGGTCCAGGGCTTTCTCAGCATAAGCCCAGTCCTCCATTAACCCTCACCTCAGGTAAGACATTGACGTGGGGCCTGAAGACAGAGTGAGCCCTTTTGATCTCTACATTTCAGCCTTTCTTCAGCTAAGAACAGTTTTGTCTCTTCTACATGGCTCCATACTTTTAGGTAAAACTATCTTTTGTTATTTCCTGAAACATATTTCTCCCAAGATGTTTGGTGATCTGTGGTGCCTGTCTAAGCACACGATAATACTCAAGGGGAATGGCTACTACGCTAGACACTTTTGGCTGCCTACCGAAAGCCACTCCCCAAATGTTTTTTTCCTGCTAATGGAGCCCATTTTGTTTAAGTGGTGGTCTAAGAGCCCTTGATCTCTAGAAAATAAGGCAATCTGCCAAACCCATTAAATGAGCTGTGATTTGTTTATGCCAATCATGGTAACTTTAACTCTCATCTGATAGAAAATTATTTTTCTGGACTTCTTGCAGGTGGGAGTAACCAAGTGATCACAGAGACATTCTGCTCAGTGGAGGTGGTTCTAAAAAGTAAATTTATTTCCCAGTGAAAGAGATAGTCTTGAGACTAATGTTAGATTTCCCCTTCTTCCTGCTCTGAAGATGACTATAACCTGCCTTGAGCTATGACAGACACCTGTAACTTGGAAGATGCAAAAAAAATGAAAACATGGTAAAGCAGGAAGAATAAGCCTGGATTCTTGCTGACATCACTGAGCTCCCTGGCCGAGATTGTGAGGGTTTTAAACTAAGAAAACAATACATATTTTTATGGTTTAAGCCACTGTCATTGAGGTAGTGTGTTAATTGCTGCCAAATCTTTCTTAACAAACACAGCTATTTAGAAAATAGTATTTGATAGGATTATTGAAATATTAAATATCCCCCCACAAAAAACAAGGTAAATAGTAATGATTTCCTCATTAAGGGTACATTTAGATTCCCTGATATTTTTAATTTAGCTTTAAAGATAGAGGTTATATGATAAACAACAAGTCTTGAAGAAGGTTAGTTCTGCATACTTATTACAATTATTTATCTAGCAGTAGAGCCCATTTGAAAGTTTAATTCCAATTTGATTTGAAGCAATAGTCACAGGGTAATTAATTCTTGCATATTTGATTCTCAAATGTGGTTTCCCACTAAAAATTATCTCTTTAATATAGTTTAGATAATATTGAAGTAAATTTAGATAATTTTGGGATCTTTGCAATAGGTAGTGGTAATATTTTAATACCTTTCATATGTAGACAGACATGTAGACAGGAGGTGGTTGTGGACATCAGATTGATTATTAGTCAAAATCCAACATAAATATTTAACTTCTTAACTGGGGCTAGGACTGAAAATAGAGGACATGGGGAGGAAAATATATACTATCAGCCTACTCACAGAACATGGCTGGTAATGGGTGAAATAACAAACCCAATTTGAGCATATGAGTCAACTGTGTTATCCTCATTTTAGAAAAAGGGTAATGTGCAATAAACTTTAAGAAATGTAACAAAATACTTTCAACATATGTTCTTCAGTAACGGCTGAGTTCTTTCAAGACTTTTGTGCCCGCTTATAATCCTACAACTGAAGAGGAAAAAAATTTGGAAAAGTTTCAGGGGTCATCGACATGATAATTAATTAACTGGGAATAAAAGTGATGAGTAAGTTCCAAAGAACCTTTTCATGTTTAGTCTTCGTTAAACACTGAGAGATGGGCCTGATCTCTAAGTATATAAAAGATGAATATACAAAGGAGAGAAGCTAGCTGTTCTCCTTCTTTACCGGTGACTGAAAAGGCAAAAATGGACCCAAATTGTGATGATCTTGAGGACATAGGCCTAGGCAAAGTCTACTGTTTGTGTAACATGGGAATGATGTGCCACTCCTTTCCTCAAAGGATATTCTGGGATGTTTGACCCTTAAAGAAGCCTTCCAACTCTATTTCATGATTCCAAAAGAGAATCAAGTTATGTTTGAACAAGATAAAATAATAAGTAGGAGAAAAAAACTTTCAGTATGTTAACAACAGCATACAAACTCGGATTAGTCATTAGTCACTCTTTGTTCTCCACTAGAAAATTCATAACTCTAAAAATGAAAAGGAATGTTTGGTGGGCGGAGATCAATTTGAAGAATAATAAAGTTTAAAGTTATTTATAAATTACAAAATTAGGCCATCTCAAATAACCTATTAGTGTAATACGAATTTAGCATGCTTTGGCTTAAATGGAGATTTAACTATTAATGTGTCCTCTTCTTCCCACTGAACATGGTGTGATAGACGATCCCTAACATCTCAAAATCTTCTGCTGGGGGCTTTTTGTCTGGAGTGATCTTTGGTTATACACTAGGTGCAAAGGTATTTTCAAGCCATCTTCCCTGGATAAGATGACATTTCCACTGACACATGTTTTAACAATTCATTTCTCTCACTCATCAGAAGTTTTTGACTTTTGGAAATTTCATCACTCCCAAATGCTCTGCCCTCACAAATTTGGGTTAAACATTTCTATCATTCTCAAAAAAGTTTTATAGTCTAGCTCTAGTTCGGAATACAATCTAGGTCTAACATAACTTGACTTCTTAAACAGTCAAAGCTGGACAGAAGAAAAGCATGTTCACAGGAATGCTGGCAGATATACTTCCAGTTCTAGCCAGAAAACAGTCTTTTCTCACATTATTTCAGCATGTCCAGTTCAATCCAGGTCAGAAACCAGAGATGCCAAACATTCGCCTGTGTTTCTGGCCCTTCAGAAATCAGCAAACCATTGGGTGGCTGAGAATATATTTATTTAAGCACGATCCTCCTTTAAAACCATTTACCCTGCCTGGTAGAAGCTGTGGGAACTATTGATCTCACAGAGAATGATTCTGTCATGTAACAATCCAAGTTTTTTGTTTTTCTGTGTGTTTTCATGTTTTGTTTTATTTTCTGGAGTTAGTAAGAATTCCACTGTATCAATAACTTTTGTTTTATTTTCTGGAGTTAGTAAGAATTCCACTATATCATTAACTTTAAAATTTATATTTATTTTAATTATTAGTCAAAACCAAACACAAATATTTAGCTTCTTGATTCAGCTTGATTTAGCTCTTGATTTGGATTCTTGATAAGCATATTGGTTGAAAGAGAAGGATACATGTGCTTTAAACAAAAATAAAAAACTTTTTAAGTCATGTTAGGTATTTGACTCTCCAAAATAACAAACAGAATAAAAGATGCTGTGAATGTTGTGGTTCTAGTTGACAATGAGTACTTTCTTGTCTTAGAATTAATGAGATTTTTGGCTATATTTATATAGACTAAAAATTAAAAAATTCTTACAGAAAAAATATACTCTTTACACAAAATTTATGCAATGAATGACAATAGGTTTTCTTCTACAGACATATCTAGGCCCATATTATAATAGAAAACATGAAGATCCATATATGAAAGTTTCTAAGAGTCTAACCTAGGTTTTAAAGTATATAGTTTCCAGTTTCCTTCATACTTGTGTAATTCTTCTCTTTCAAACCAAGAAAACTGGTTTTTAGTAATATATATTGTTTATGGAACGGTACTTAGGTGTTTTACAAAGTTTGAACAAAAATAGAATAACCAAGAAGAATGCCAGGGATGTCTGGTTGCACTAGCAGTGATAATTTCAGCCAGGTGAGTGAGCAGTGGTGTTTGAAGGACTGTCCCTCTGGTGTGCCATCGTTAATGTGACTCTGAGCCTGTTCTCTCCAGGGCTCTTGGTTGAAGTTCTTGAAGAAGAGTATCTGATTGATCACTGGCCTGAGGCAGGAGGAATATGGACTTAGTACTTACTGTATAATTTAACTGCATATGTTAATTTTACTGATGTGCTACAAATCAGATGCTCACATTAGGGGAAAAAGAAACCCCAAGAGTATATCAAAATAGGATCACAGCAAGACTGGCAATATCCGACTGTAACCCACATACAAAAAAAACTATACTATTTATTAGTTGAATTAATGTCTTATCAATTTGATTCTGCATCCATGAGAAGTAAAAGACATCGCTTTATAGATGATACCACTATTGTAGTTGAGGGGCTTCCATGCTTATGAAATGACAACTATTTAGTTAATTCATTAGTCCAATAGCATTTAAAAATTACTGTATTAAGAAAATTGGATTATTTTCTATAAGATCTTATATCCTACAAATAGTTCTCAGAAAAAAGATCATTTAAAGATGGAAACACATTGAGTAGGTAGATGAAAAGATAACATCTCTATTGAAAAAGTATATATTTGAATTTCTTTTCTCCTTTTCTTCTTTCTTTCCTTTCTCTTCCTTGTTTATTTATTTCTTCTTTTTCTAAAATTCCTTATGTCTTATAAAGGAGGTAAAAATTGTTTAGTTAGGCTTTTTTAAGTAAAGAAAACTCAAATCACTCTATACAATATGTTATATACAACATATTTTAGTAAATACTGACTAGTTCTCAAATATTTTTCTTATAGCAACAAACTGTATAGCCCATGTATTATTTTGTGGAGAAAGTATAGAGAACATTTACTTGTAAAAAATTTTCCTTCCTTCTTTATTTTTACGAGTTAAATGACTTGTTACTTTGTAAAGAACCCATATTTTCTTTTTCTTAACTTGAAGACATTGAAAAATAATAGTTTTCCTAATAAAACATTACTTGAAAATTTCATGCACAGATGAATTAAATAATGGTTTCAAGTCTGTTTTAGATACTAGCACCACTAGTCTTTTTCTTTATACACATGTGAGGTTTTGCTTTCTTGGACAACCTAATTCTGAAATAATTTAGTGTAGAAGAAAATCAGTCATGTCAGCATTAGTCTACACATGTAACAACTACTTTAATAAATTGTGAAATATCTCAGAAATTTTATTCTGTACCACATTCTGTTTTAAATTGTAATATTAATGACTTAAAATTGGTCAAGAATCTATTATGATAATAATGGCTAACAAGCTGATTATACAGTGGTAAAGGAGTCTAATTGAATTTGGTATTTTGAATTTACAAGGTTGCAAAGCAACTATATTAATTTGTTGACATCTTACATTATAAAACTATTTTCTGATTTGCCTAGGTGAAGGAAAAGAGGAAAATCGTATTTATATGTATTTCTAATTTTTTAGTTCATAATTCTTTATTCTGTAAAACATTATCTCATTTTTTCTTAGTGGAGTTAGAGGTAGGGGAGGCAGGGGGCAAATTTACTGGCAGTATTACCTGATTTCATCATTGTTTTAATTTAATTCACATATGTCTGACAAATTTAAAAAGCAACCATCTTAAGCAAGACTAAAGGACTTTTTATTGGTAATCTCTAAGGATTTAACTAGTTCCAGTTGAATCATCAGAAACTATCAGAAACTGCATTTTCTTTCCTTGCTCCCCTTTTTTGCTCAGGTCTCTTATATTGTGCCAAATACATTGATTTAAAAACTTCCTCAGAACACATCTATAAGACATGACTGATTTTTGAACACGATCTTAGGCACTGTTAACAAATGATATTTCAATGAATCTAGTTGTCTGAAATAATCAAAATGGACTACTAAAGCTTTTCATATAAACAGACCCTTCATAAATTTTTAAAGCTATCTAACACCCTAATCATCTTTAGTAATGACTGCAATTCATTCCTAAAATTTATTTGTTACATTTAAATGTCTCTGTATTATACTTTGTTAATAATGGTGCTTATTTGCTCATGCAAATGGATTGTTAAGAGGTCATATTTGTCAGCTTGCTAGCAGACTTCGACTGACTGATATTGGCTCTCTTTTTTCCTATTACTTCATTTATTGCATTATTAAATCAATACTTACTTTAGAAGCCAAGAAAATGTTTTATACTGCAATATGGTTGCCTCCCTAGAGTTCATTAGCTCATTTTCCTTCCATTAACTCTGTGTGCACTGTACTCCTTTCCTAACTTTTCTGATTCTGAAATCCTAGTTCACATGCAGGTAGAAAACCGTTTTAATCTTGAATTTTCCTAGAATGTAAAGGCTGAAAATAACCTTACAGATGGTCTATTCTAGATTTCTGCTTTTGTGTCAGTATTGTTTCCACAAGGAGATGAAGATGAAGATCTCCTTGCGGCAAGATCATGTCATGTAAGCCTAAAGCTCAATATATACTTGATTAACTCTGGAAAATACTTGGATTTATGGAGAAGTTTAGTCTTCCCTTTCAATGACCTATTCATTATGTTATTATATTTTTAGTGCTTTCAAAGAGCTTCAACATGCAAAGAGGGGTTTTTCTCTTTATTCCCAGTTACACAGCCAGTTTATGATGCTTTTAAAAATAGACTGTTCTGATTGCTACTCAAGTATTATTTCAATTACATCAAGGCACATAAACATCCAAGTTATATATTCATACATGCTCACATGTTAGCACAAATTTGGCTCAACATTGAGAGCAAATGAAAACCCCTTGACCAAATACACTGAGCTTTCTACCCAGCTTAACACCTACCTATTTCTTTCCAGTAGCTTTAATTTAGATCATGTTTTTAAAATTCAAATTAAAAATGCAGACTGCCTAATATTTTAAAATCCATTTTTCCCTAAAGGTCATTACTACTGTCTCTGGCTTTTAGTATTAATTCTCTAATAAAGGTGCTTCATGGGAGAGCTGAACTGAATGAAAATCCCACATTTTTAATAAAGAAACTTTATTTAAATTACCATTTTAGAAAATATACCTTCAATTAATTGGCATTTTGCCTCAGTCAAGGCAAAAATCATATTACTGATTTATGTTTGTGGAAGCAATGGCTAGTGAATTCATTAACTTTAGGTCTATCATACTTTGTAGATAATGTTCTGTGTGGAGCAATAGGAATGTTTTCACTGTCTTTTTCCAGGAATTCTATTCCCCCTGAATATCAGAGATTTGTTTTAATTTTTTAGAAGTTCATAGCTTTATTTTCTAAAACAAGGAAGAACAGAAGAAAGTTACTTGTAATCAAATAGAGATTCTCATGGCTACCTTTAACTTGGTTACAAAAGTTGCATTTGCTTTCCTAGCCAAATTAGCATTTTGCTCTCTTTCCCATGTTTCTGTATCTGAAAGGGAGGCTGCATATGCTACGCTGTCAGCTTTTCCAGCAACACTCACAAATATTTTCCTTATGCTGCAAACTAAGCCCTTGATTCAGTGTCTCACCCAGTAGACATTATTCATTTTGAAACAACACAGCTGTATTTCAGATTTTATGTCTGATACCTTTCCTCCATGAGTTAAGTTGCAAAAGTAAGCAAAAATATGGAGAGAAGTGCCTTTAATAAATTTCACTGAGAGAGAGAAAGAGAGAGAACCTGTCAATGCAATCAACATTCAAAGGCTAAAAGCAGGGTGTAACTGTTGTTAAGAGGTGAACCAGAACTTTTGGAACAGATATGGAACACAGGATATGTATTTTTAAAAATTGTTGCCAATTCTATTGGTTTATTTACCATTGAACATCATTCCTTCAATAAAATGTGTATACAAACAAATCAATTAATTTTTATCTTTTTTCCTTTACTCTGCCTTTCAATAGTAAATGGTGAGTAGTTATGTCTTGTGACGTGGAGGTTTATTTTTAAAAGTTCATGAAGCTAATAGCATCATCAAAGAGAGATCTGGATGTGGAAATACACCCAGTCCATAAAAGAGGTGGAAGCTGTGGATATGCCATATAGCTAACTGCAGGAGATGGAAGAAAGTAAGTTAGGAGGAGAAGGTGGCATCCAGAAAGTGGGATGAAAGGTGGTGATTTGATTAGAAATCAGTATCAAAGAGGTTGAAAAGTGGCACTGAGATTTCCATGAGGCAAATAAAACATTGTAACTAGGGTTTCTGTAGTATTTTTATATGTTATTTTACATATAGAGATAAGAGGTTTTTTTTAAAAGAAACAACAACAAAAAGCAAACATAACATTGGTCATGGGGTTTGAGGAACAGAGAAAGGACTTCAGTAACACAAAAAGGGAGCTGGAAAAGAAAGACAGTGCTACTGTGTTCGAAATTGGTGGGTTCTTAGTCTCACTGACTTCAAGAATGAAGCCGCGGACCCTCGCAGTGAGTGTTACAGTTCTTAAAGATGGTGTATCTGGAGTTTGTTCCTTCTGATGTTCGGACGTGTTTGGAGTTTCTTCCTTCTGGTGGGTTCGTGGTCTCGCTGGCTTCAGGAGTGAAGCTGCAGACCTTCGCAGTGAGTGTTACAGCTCTTAAGGCAGTGCATCTGGAGTTGTTTGTTCCTCCTGTCCAGAGTTGTTCATTCCTCCCGGTGTGTTCATGGTCTCGCTGGCCTCAGGAGTGAAGCTGCAGACCTTTCTGGTGAGTGTTACAGCTCATAAAGGCAGTGTGGACCCAAAGAGTGAGCAGCAGCAAGATTTATTGCAAAGAGCAAAAGAACAAAGCTTCCATAGTGTAGAAGGGGACCTGAGGGATTGCTGCTGCTGGTTCGGGCAGCCTGCTTTATTTCCTTAACTGGCCCCACCTACATTCTGCTGATTGGTCCATTTTACAGAGAGCTGATTGGTCCATTTTGACAGGGTGCTGATTGGTGTGTTTACAATCCCTGAGCTAGACACAGAGTGCTGATTGGTGCATTTACAATCCTTTAGCTAGACATAAAAGTTCTCCAAGTCCCCACTAGATTAGCTAGACACAGAGCACTGATTGGTGCATTTACAAACCTTGAGCTAGACACAGGGTGCTGATTGGTATGTTTACAAACCTTGAGCTAGACACGGAGTGCTGATTGGTGTATTTACTATCCTTTAGCTAGACATAAAGGTTCTCCAAGTCCCCACCAGATTAGCTAGATACAGAGTGCTGATTAGTGCATCCACGAACCCCAAACTAGACACAGAGTGCTGATTAGTGCATATACAATCCTCTAGCTAGACATAAAAGTTCTCCAAGTCCCCACCTGACTCAGGAGCCCAGCTGCCTTTGCCTAGTGGATCCCGTGCCAGGGCCATGGGCGGAGCTGCCCGCCAGTCCCGTGCCACGTGCCTGCACTCCTCAGGCCTTGAGGGGTTGATGGGACTGGGTGCCACGGAGCAGGGTGCAGCGGAGCAGGGTGCGGCGCCCGTTGGGGAGGCTTGGGATGGGCGGGAGCCCACTGAGGCAGGGCTCGGGGCATGGCAGGCTGCACTACCATGCTAGATAATTTTTCTGGCTTTCTAGACATGATCTCTCACATAGGAAGGAAAAAAGATGACTCAACTAAAGTCAGACTAATAGCAACACTAACTTTATGCTGTTCTAGATTTTTAAAAATATACTTTAAATTTGGGTCAGAATTGATTCTAGGACAAACATGTAAGATGGTGGAAAGAACAGATAGAAGAAAGGGAAATTAAACAGGAAAACAGAGCAGTGCAATGAAAGGCCTAGAAAAACTCTAAGAGACTCTCTGTTTCTGATAATGATGGAATAGATTATTCAGAGCAATCATCCTCCTCAAAGCAATTTAAAACCTGGGTAAAATATTTGCAAAATAAAATTTCTTCTTTAAAACAGTAAGAAAATGAAAATATTTTAACCAATTACCAATGGTAAAACAGGGGAATAGTTGAAACCAAAGAAGCAAGCAAGCATATATGCTATCTTTGTCCTGTAGGTATTTGTTGATTTAGAAAATAAAAGAAACTTCCTTATGATAAAGAGGATAGGACTCAAAGGTGGGGAGCACACATAGACAGGGAGTGTAACAGGAGACTCTCACATTATCTGGAACTCTAAGGGCTACACTTTCTGGGTGAACATAAACCAGAAGAGAACTAGTTCTTACATGAAATTACAACACAGGTTTCTACTCCTTCAGTGGTCCAAAGAGTTTAAACTTTTGGCATAGTTTAAGGTGCAGACAGATGGGTAGTGCTGCCAGTTATCTCATAAGAGAACACAAATCTTGTCACCCAAAAAAGGAACCCTTTCCATAGTTTAACATTTCTAAAATATAACCAGTAATAAACTAACCTGTCACAGAGGAAAGAAATGTAAACCAGAAGAAACAAGAGAATAAAAAACCAACTGCAAAGACTTCAAATTATGAAGTAATTAGATGCAGATGAAAAATATAATATCCTTACTACAGTTAAGGGGAAAAACACAAGATTGAAGATATATATAGGGAGTAAGAAATCTATTAAAGTGATATAACCATATTTGAAAAGGAACCAAATTGAAATTATGTAGAAGCCACAATAGAAATTTTTTTTTTTTTTTGAGACAGAGTCTCGCTTTTTTGCCGAGGCTGGACTGCAGTGGCCTATCTCAGCTCACTGCAAGCTCTGCCTCCTGGGTTCACACCATTCTCCTGCCTCAGCCTCCCGAGTAGCTGGGGCTACAGGAGCCCGCCACTGTGCTCGGCTAATTTTTTGTATTTTTAGTAGAGACAGGGTTTCACCGCCCAATAGATATTTTAAAAAGAAAATTTAAAAAGTTAAAGATAGAGTTCATGATATGGAATATAGGTTAGAAGAAATTATCTAAATTACAGCATATAATAATCAAAAGATGAAAAAATGCTATTTATGACTAAAAGAGAGTAAATTGTGAAAAGGTTTAACATATGTATAAGTGCAAGAGAGAACGAGACAAAAGGAAAACAAAGACATAGTGATTCTGAATTTTCCAGAACTGACAAAAGATACTGCATTACTCAGAAACTTGCATCAATAATACTACATAACAAACAACCCTCATATTTCAGTAGCTTACAATAAAACAAGGCTGTGCTCCCATGGCTTTCTCTGATTCCCTGAGTTGATATCTCCTCTATACACTTCCCTGAAACTGAAATATCAGGTCGAGTATAGGGAGAGAGAAACTCACTTCCAGTATTTTTGTGCTCACAATTCATCAGACTGGTTGAGGATCAAGTTCAGTCACTATTCTAAATGACTCTCATTTTGGGACTAGCAGCTGATTTAAACATGCTCTTCCCGTGGTCTTTGGTATTAGCACAAGAGGGAAAAATAAAAACATCAGGTATTCCATAGGGTCTTGGCTAGGTACTGACATATTCTCACTTCTACATTCCACTGACCAAAGCACATTATGTAGCTCATTATCAGTGAGGTGGAGACATATACTCTGTCCATTGTCAGCTAAGCTATGGTGAAGTAGGGAAGGAAGAATATAATAAAACATGACTCAGATACCTATCCACAATTTCAAGAAATGCAATAAATCCCAAAAAACAAATATGTAAACAATA
This sequence comes from Homo sapiens, assembly GCF_000001405.40. Taxonomy (NCBI): domain Eukaryota; kingdom Metazoa; phylum Chordata; class Mammalia; order Primates; family Hominidae; genus Homo; species Homo sapiens. The sequence goes on along the minus strand of NC_000002.12, from coordinate 188,888,752 downwards.
GAAACCAAAGGCAAAGACAAAGTTTAAGTGTGGCCAAAAAGACGTATTCCTTTCCAACTAGTGACAACCAGACAGTCAGCTGACTTTTCATGCAACAGCAACAAGAGTAAATATTTTTACCGTGAGTGGACTAAAAATGTTCACATTAAAACACAATGATTGTCAGACTAGGTAAAAAACAAAATCTAACTATGAACTACTTACAAGAGAAACATCCATAATAAAAGATACAGAAATATTGAAATTTGGAAGATGAAAAAATGTATATGATAAAAAACTGTAGGTAAAAGAAAGCTATGCAGTTTGACATCTCTCTTTGTAAGACAGATTTTCGTAAATGGTGATGAGCACATCTAGAGGTTGGTGTGAAAGTACAATGGAACATCATATGTGGTTAGAATTTTTGTGCATTTTAAATAAAAATAAATGTCATTGGTATGATCCCTCTTTTCTCCCATCCTTAATTTAGATGTCTTCTATTTTAGCCATGTGAGAATAGCTTTCATGTCTAATCTTGTTTCTTAATTGTGTGTTTTCTTCTTCCTTGGAGATGTTCTCTTCATTTAATAATTATTGGGTATTTTCTCCAAAGACATTTACTACTAAATGCCCATTGAACAGTAATAAAAGTCCTCTTTTTCTTGAACTATGAAGGCAAAAATATCATTTCTTACAACCAGAAAAAAATGCATCTCATGCATCTCTACTGAATAATAGCTACTACTGATAGAATACTGCAATGTATCTTGTATTTTTATCCGTCCAAATACAACTGAATGTTCTTTGAGTCATTATTAATTGATATTGTTACTATATTTCATTTGCTTTGTTCATTTTGACAAGTCTAAAATGCAGACAACTTTCTGTCTTCCCTTTTCCTTTTCCCTTACTTCCTTACTTGTCATCTTTTTCCTTACTTTTAGACAAACTGAAATCTTTTTTTTACTAAAAACATTTCAAAGTTACTAATCCTAGATTTTAAGCATATATTAGCAAGTACAAATATTACAAACAAACAGAGCTAGAGAGATTAGATTGGATTGCAAGAGCTGAAATGTTTACAATCTCAGAAGTTGGTGGCCATTTTTTTTTAAAGAAGATTTTGTGTTTACTTGTTCTGGATAGATCAAAAACATAGACCTGGGTGTGTGTCAAATTATAATGCTTGAAAAGTTGCTACTGTAATTGTAGCGGGAAGAGAAATGGACATGTAGGAAGAAGACTTGTATTCCAGGCCTGATTCTTCCACTTAATGTGATGTGATTTTGGAAAAGGCACTTTACCACTTGGAATCTGGGGTTTTGACTCAGTACTCAGTAAAACAGAGATAATAACACATCCTGAGGTTGGTGTGAGAGTCCAATGGAACATCATATGTGATTAAAATCTGTGTGTTTAAAATAAAAGTAAATGTTATTGGTATTATTCTTCTCTTCCCCTGAACTTAATTTAGGTTTCTTTTCTTTTCTTTTCTTTTCTTTTCTTTTTTTTTTTTTTTTAACAGAATCTTGCTCTGTCACCCAGGCTTGAGGGCAGTGGTGTGATCTCGGGTCACTGCAACCTCCATATCCTGGGTTTAAGTGATTCTCCTGTTCTCCTGCCTCAGCCTCCCAAGTAGCTGGGACTACAGGCATGCACCACCATGCCCAGCTAATTTTTGCATTTGTAGTAGAGACAGGGTTTTTTCATGTTGGCCAGGCTGGTCTCAAACTGCTGACCTCAAGTTATCTGCCTGCCTGGACCTCCCAAACTGCTGGGATTACAGGTGTGAGCCACCACGCCTGGCCAAATTTAAGTATATTCTATGTTTTGAAGTTTCTCCCCATTTGAATCTCCTGTGCTTCAACTGGATGTTCTTATCTCAATGTTCCACCTATATCCACTATTCCATGCATCAGATCTCCCTTCTTCTACCTCTGACAAAACTTTCCTATACACTGTGCCTTCCAAATTTGATATTGAACTAAACCAAATACCAAATAATTAACATATGCTAAATTGCTGATAGCTACTAATTGCATCTCGCTTGCTAAGAGTTCTTCCACAAAAGTCATCAGTTACAAGAGATATGTTTCATTTTTCTATTCCTATTTTGCTAATACAGTTACTAGCAGATAATGGGCACTCAATGAATAATTGTAAGTAGAATAAGTGCATGTTCCCCCATAGCTGAGAAATCTCTGAGACTATTGTGTTTGCCTCAAGTATAGGTAGAAATAAAACGCAAACAAAATGCAACCCACACATATATTCAGTGGTTATGGGAAGCTTTTTTTGGCCAATATAGAGAATTTCCATCTAATAACAGGGCTTTTAGGTGAAAAATTAAACTTCTCATTTTAGAAATTTGAATTTGACTTTTTTTTACATTTATAAAAATGCATGATTCCTAGCTATACACATAGACCACATGTGGTTCTAAGTCATACAAAAAAAATTAATCCATTCATTCCACATTTTATCTGCTTACCTGGAGGAGAAAAAAAGTTCAAGCAACTAAATATTTAAAATAATTGATTTTTCATTTTAAGAGCTCTTTAAATCTGAGAACTATGAAAGACATCACTTTGAAAGAGTAAAATAATACACCACAACCACGTGTGGCACCAATACAATACTAAAAACAGAGGGAGGGAGAGAGAAAGAGAGAGAGAGAGAAGCAAATTGCAATGGATGTTTCAAAAGTAATTTATAATCTACCTGTATGTCACAGATTCTTTTACAGTAAAGTGTGTAAGACCCTCCTACCTCCTTCTTGTTGACAAAGGAATGAATCGACTGACTAAATTATTTTAAAAGCTTAAAGTCAAACTTTCTTAAATTCAAAGAAATGTCTTTGAAATTAACTACAAATCACAATGTCCTTTTGCATGGTAAAACAATAAAACATTATTAGCTAATTAATTAAAGGGTTGAAAGTTGATGGACGTCCCCCCCCAAACACCCCACCTCCAATATTTTTTTTTTTTTTTTTTTTTGAGACAGAGTCTTACTCTGTCGCCCAGGCTGGAGTGCAGTGGCACAATCTCGGCTCACTGCAACCTCCACCTCCCAGGTTCGAGCAATTCTCCTGCCTCAGCCCCCGAATAGCTGGCGTGCACCGCCACGCCCAGCTAATTTTTGTATTTTTAGTAGAGATGGGGTTTCGCCATGTTGGCCAGGCTGGTCTCAAACTGCTGAGCTCAGGTGATCTACCTGCCTCAGCCTCCCAAAGTGCTGGGATTACATTGGGCCAGTATTCGTCTTTTAAAAATAAAATAGATTGCTAATTTTCTGAACTTTTAAATAGAAATTAGACATTTTAAGTAATCTCAGCACAGAAATGAGCTACCTATGGGCCAATAACTGCGGTTTGAGTCTTGTTATTTTAGCTCCTGTCTTAGCATTAGCCTCATCTATACACACCTATGAGTATGGTTATATTATACATACATAGAGAAAACGGCAAGAAAAATAAGTAAACTGACTCAAATAAAATGCTTTTTCTAATTTTAAGATTTCAGCATCCTATTTTTTTCTTCAGATACATTTGATAATGAAAGGAGGTGTTTTTTAAAAAATATAAAAACTAACTTTGTAATAAAAATAATACTTCCAACACTTCCAAGTATGGAATTTGATGTATAATCCCAAAATTACACTAATAATTTCCTTTCAAAAGTTATTTGAATTAATTGAAATCATTATAAACGAGAAATACCACATATCCTCTATACACTTCCTCAATCACAAATCATGTCAAAGAGGGCATTTTCTTAGCGATTTACTCCCTTACAGATTGATTTTTCTTTATTAGTTAGCAAGATGGCATTAAATTGATTTTTAATGTTTTTTATGTTTAGATAACTAATACATTTTGTAAGATTTTAAATAATATAATCTATGTGAAACAAAATCTTATCTTTTAGAGGTATACAGTCAATATTCTATAAAAAAAAGTCAGTGGGAAAACTTTCGCAATATATCCCTCAAATTTTCCATTACATTTTCTCCAGACAAGCTTCAATGTCGTAATAATGTGACTCCTTTTGAATAAACATGTAGGTTCTATGTGGGCCTCTGCCACTCTCTGTTACATTCTATCATATAAAAATAACATATAGTTTAAAAATGTTAGGATAAAATACATATTAAAAACCGTGACCAAGAACTTTGTAAAATGGGATTTTGGTTTACTTGACATTAAATTGCAGATTATTAATGCTGCAAAGATAATTTTTAGGTGGATTCTTTGTGTGTATATTTGTTTGGGTGATGGGAGTGGAGGAGAATGGTAAAATAATCAGACTGACATCTTAGCTTTCTCCATTTTATGAAGCAGTGTATTCCAAGTGTTTATAGCTGGATCTAACAAAAAGCTTTCTTTTTTCACTTGATTTGAGCATTTGTTTGTTTATCTTTTCTCAGGCTGCTTCTACAAACACAAAGTTGCAATGCCCTAACATATTACAGAACTAGCCTGTGTTTACTTTCCCCCCATTTGACCACCCACAAGTTGAGTCAGAGTTGTACTTTACATTTTCCTAAACCAAAACCACATGGAGGAAATACACTTCCTTGGGTCTCTTTAAAATCATGAAATTAAGCCTTTCTTGGATTCTATCTCCAACAAGTAACAGATAATCTTGCGCTTGTGAATACCTCTAAGTTATTAAGCTGGGAGTGTTGCTGCAGCTGATCAAGAAAACTGGAGCCCCAGAAACAGTCACAGAACTTAGAGCTGAAAAGAGTAACAGAAATCAATTAAATTTAAGTGCTTCTTATAGGTGGGGAAACTGGCTTAGAGAGGCTGAACTCTTGCCCATGGTTATTATAAAAACCAAGATGAGACTTGGTGACTGGGTTTCTAGCCAGAATCTACTCTAATTAACCACTGTATTCCAACTGAACCGATTGCTAAAACATTTAACTAAGCAAGGGATCCATTTGCTGATTTGTGCAATTGCATCTTTTCTCGTTTCATATCATCTGCTGAATGTGCTAAGTAATGTTAGAATTAAATTTAATTATTTAACATTAGCATAAATTTAAAAATATTTTTGACCCTTTATATCTTTCTCTAACCCTTTTTCCCTCCCTGAGGAAATGGTATTCTCGCAAGCCTTTTGTGTCTTGAGCCCATTTATTTCTTCATCCTCTGATCTAAAATGGCTACTGGGATGTTGCCTTGTCCTGGCAATAAAGCAACTTCACACTGACCTGTTTTGTTAGATGCAATATTGTTCTTCTAGGCTTCACAAAACCTTCTTAGTCCTTAACAATACGTGAATGAATCCTCTGGACACAAATATATATTTCAGTTATTTCTACATAATGTCTCTGAATAATAATTGTGAGTTTTTATTATATATTCAATATTATTATGGAAAATCCTTAACAGGTAATGGCGTTGAGAATTTTCAGGCTTTATGAAATTTAAAGCTGTAACACTTTAAAGTTTGGTTTTCCTAAAAGAATCCAAAGTCTGGCTCAGATTTTAGCATCCTATCTAGAGCACTCCAAATTATGTATGTAAATCTTTGTTCTTCCAAGAGGAAAATAATTGTTCTTCTTTATTATTTTAATCTTTAGCATGCAATGAAATAATTGATTTGAGATCACATAGGGAATTTCTCAAGGGTCTCAGAAGTTAGAGAGAAAATTACAGTCATATTAGCTCGACTACATCACTCATTCAAAGGATCTCAGCATATCAAGCCAAGGTATGACTTTTTTCTTTTGAGTAGTAACATTGAGAGCCATTTTAAAACCCTATGTTTCACTAAGAAACAATGCAAATTGAGTGAATTCTCTTCTACCCCCTGCCTTTTCAAAAATCTTCCTCAATTACTACACTCTTTTCATCCAGCAAGTTACACTGCCTGTGGGAAGTAATGCTAACTTATCATTTTCTTTTTCTTCTCTCATATAATATCTTGATAAAGGGATTCTGTCCTAAAGATATCACCTAATGGGCTTTCATGTAATCGACTGGTGTACTTTTACTTACTATTTCTTAGCAGACTAAGACACACTAAATTATTCTACCTTGCACTACTACTGCTTATTTAGATCACACCAAATCCTATTTTAACTGATACATGTTGGGTTTAAATTATAGTTAATAGATAGTCATCTTGACAAGCCAGATGTGGTATTATGATGTATGGTCATAATACTTGTCTTATGAGCCTCCTCTACTGTGTCCAAATTCAACCTCCAGCTCTTTCCTTCATGTCCTTCTTTATCCAGCCTTATCCAGGACTTATCCAGTCCATGAAACACAGTTTTCTGCCAACATTTTCAAACTCCCTTGCCCTACTCTCTCTTGGTGTTAAAAGTCTATCTGGCAAAACTCAATCTAATTGTATTCAGATATCTACTTTCTCTGCTTCTGTTTCCAAATGGCTAAGCACTGCTGGAATATTCACATGACAGAACAACCTGGGTCTATGACAAATTCATAATCCCAACCTTGAAAGGACATTCAACATTACTAGACAATTCAACTACAGCATCTCTGTACTACTTTCCTACTCTCAGCATTTCCTTCTCTAACCCTCTCTACCTACATCAAACCCTAACCCCCACCCCCATTCACTCTCACTATGAGTTGATTATCTGACTTCTAGTTCAGAGAGATAGTAATAATAGCAATGATAAATATATACATAATGCTTACCATATGCCTGGCACTAGTTTTTAAAATTTACATATATCAACTACCCTAGGAAAATGGCGCTATTTCTATCACCTGTTTATAGAGGCACAGATAATTTAAATACTTTGCCCACAGTCACACAGCTAGCAAGCGACAGTCAGGTTTTCACTCAGGATTCTAATTTGAGTCTATGCCTTTGACCACTATACATATTGCCTTCTCCTGAAACCACATGTCCAAGCTGCCTACGTCTCATAATGAGGCTCCCCCTCTTACCTGGGGCCAATCCTTCCCATCACCTGTGACTAGAGTTTTATGTTTTTATTCTCAGCAGCCCCACATGATTTATTAAACTTCTTCTTTTGTGTGTAGATTTACCCTCTTCTCATTCAGTCAACCATCTCCTTCTCTCTGCCCATCCACACATACATTTTTTGGAAAAGATGACTGTTCTCCCTTTTTACATGTCATCACTTTTTACTATCTACTCAGCACATTCTTCAGTCTTGACCCTCTACCCATCCAGCTTTTACCTAGCTTACAACTGACCTCCATGACACCAATTCCAACACAAATTTTTCACCCCTCATTTCACTTGTGCTCCCACCAGTGTTCCATTCTGTTGACTACTGCCTCGTCTCTGAAACCCTGTCTTCCCTTGGCTTTTGTGAAACAATTGTATATCTATCTATCTATCTATCTATCTATCTATCTATCTATCTATCTATTTATCAATCATCCATCTAATCTATCTCCTGTTAGTTCTGCTTCTCTGGAGAACACTTACTAATGCATCTATCTCTACCTCAGATCTCTGTTTGGAACAACAGACCCACACATTACATGGGATATAAGCTCCATGAAGTCAGTGACTGCTTGCTTTGTCTCTTTTCTATCCTGGTGTCTAGAAGTGTCTAGTAACAGTGGGTGAACAATGAATATTTTTAATTAAAGAAAAAATGATCTGCCTAACCTTGATCCTCTTTTAGTATTTCCTGTTAGAGCAAGGCATCACTATTGATCCAGTTAAACTAAACAGCCTGACAAAAATTGTTGATATTTCTATTTCCCTCATCCCTCAGAGTTAACAGTTGTATTAGTTGGCTAGGACTCCTATAACAAAATACCACAGAATGGGCAGCTTAAACATCAGGAATTTGTTTTGTCACAGTTATGGAGGCTAGAAGTCAAGTCTCAATGTGTCTCAGTTTGGTTTTTCCTGAGCCCTCTCTCCTTGGTTTGCAGATGGTCAGCATCTCACTGTGTCCTCACAAGATCTTTCCTGTCTATACACACAGTTCTGGTGTCTCTTTGTGTGTCTGAATTTCCTCTTTTTATAAGGACATCAATCAGAGTAGATTAGATCCCACCCTAACAGCTGTAAATAATTTAATCATCCTTTTAAAAGTCTTATCACCAAATACAGTCACATTCTGAGGTACTGGGGGTTAAGACTTTAACATGAATTTTGGGGGAGATACAATTTATCCCACAATCATCTATCAACAAATTCATTTGATTTTTTTCTAAATATATATGTCTTGAATCCACATATTTTTCTGTATCTCTTCATAATCCAGGGTATCATTATCTTTTAAGATCTTCAAAGAGTCTCTGACTTCTAGTATTCAAATACTTGTATAATCTCCTACTTTCTAGTGCCAGCTGGACCTAAATACTAATAAAGAGAATATGGTCAAAGTGATGGAATGGCGTTTTTGAGATTAGGGTCGCTGCCATGCTCTCATTCCCTTGCTCTCTCCTTGCTTATTCTGATGAAACTCGGCTGTCACATTGTGAGCCTTTGGAGAGGCCCAAGTGGCAAGGAGCTGAGGGAGACCTCTGGCCATGGCCCACAAGGAAACTGAGGCTTTCATCCAAGAACCCACGAGGAACTGAATGCTGCCAACTACCACTTGAGTGAGCAAGGAAGTAGATACTCCTGCAGTCAAGCCTTGAGATAACAGCAGCTCTGGACGACACCTTGATTGTAAACTTGTGAGAGAGTTACAGCCAGAGAACCCAATTAAGCCCTGCCCAGAGTCATGACCCACAAAATCTGTGACATAATAAGTGTTTATTGTTTTAAGCCATTAAGTTTTGGGGTCATTTGGTATGCAGACATAAATAACTAATACACGTACTTACTACAGAAGTATACTAGCTTGTCTACCTACATTTATTCTGGCCTCCATCAAATCACTTCTTCATATGGCAGTCAGAGTGATCTTTTCATAACACAAATCAGTCTATTTTCCACCTAAACTCTTCAGTAGCTTCCCATTTATTGAAGACCAGCTGTCTAACATGACAAACAAAGTCCTGCATAGCCTGGCTTCTCTCCACGTCCCAGGCCTCATCTCACACTCAGCTCTGCTCTCTGTCCAGCCATAATGAAATTCTTTGGTCCCTTCGTACTCACTATGCTGCACCCCACTATAGGCCTTTTGTAAATGCTGTTTGCTCTGCTTAACATGTTCACCTCTCGTTTCTTCACCTTTTAACACCTATTCTTCCTTTCAGATTTCAAAACCTCATTTTCTCAAGGAGTCCACTCCCGTCCAGGTCAAATCTCCATAGCATTTGCCAGAGAATATTTTTACATATGATTCTGTAGAGGCTTTCCCTTCCACTCAAGAGCAAGCTGCCTGAGAGCAAGGATAATGTCTAGCTGTTTTGTGTTTTTTAAAATATGGTATGTACCATGCCTGGCCCAGTGTCTAGCACAGAGTAAGTACACAGTAAATATTCATTAAACAAATAAATACATAAAATATCAGCAAAATACCATGCATTATTCCTTTTGTCTTTTTCTGAGTGTTCCAATCAACAATTTTGCCTCTTAAAAACTATGCAAGCTCAAGTATGCGATGCTACTATTTCCTATAACTGGACTTTTCTGCCAAGTATTTATGAGACTATGTTTTTACAAGGACTATTAGAGAAATACTGGAAAACAACATTTCTTAATATATGATGGCATTTAACCCTTCTGGATTCATGGTAAAACCATGACAGACTGAAAGGATAAGACTTGGCATCTGATATGGAATTTGTCAGACTCAAAACTTTTGTCCAAAAAATTAATGGTAAGCTTTGTTTATTTGAAAATATCATCTCTTATTTTTAGCAAATCTGAATTACACAGCTGGGTGACAGATGTATATATGTCATAACCTTATAGAGGAGAAAGAGCATGTTGGCTCTGTGATCACATTTTTTTGAATGGAAAGATTTCCATCTTTTAGATCATGTCATGTATTCCATCTGGATGTTGTGGCAAAAACACTGCCTATGTGTCACATTTTTTGGTGTATAAATCATGTCATGTCCTTGATACATTTGCCTCACCATTTACATGAATGTTAATTTGGGCACAGTTATTTATCCAACAGACTGAAAATCATAGATATATCTCTCTTCACGACTAAAGAGAGATTCTCACCACATCCATTAACGTAACAGTAAATAAGTGAAAACATCATTTAAATTTGTTTAGTTTTTCAACTCTGGGTTCTTCTCCCACATTTGTTTTAATATTTAGGTGTTTTCACATGCATATAAATGACGCTATGCATGTAACTTAAATAAGCTAATTAGACTGGGTATTAAATCACTGGTATACTCTAGTGATTTAATGGCATACTATTCAGTATTTGGATACAATAATAGACATTCATACACATTAATAGTAATGTAATAGGGAATGGTGAAGATTCATGCAAATGGGATAGTATATGCCTATTTTGCCAGAGGCAGCTGCAACTTACTGTTAACTCACTGATTGTCAGTTCAGTGTTGCTAGGTATTGCAACTTTTTCTAGAGAAGTTGGAAATCTGGATTTTATGTAAAATATCCCAATGATAAAATAATCTTTTATAACTTTGCAAAACAGTTCAAATAAGTCTTTGGGGTTTGTGTGAGATAATGGCCCTTTTTGATACAGCAACAATATTGTATATTGGAAAACACATAGGTTTTGGAAAGAGACAGACCAGGGTTTGAATTCTGGTTCAGATAGCTTCTTGTATGGCTGGACAATTTCTTCTGAAACTTTGTGTCTTAAGTAATGAAGATGCTATTTTGTTTTTTAATGTCAATAGTACAAGTAGGTAATTAATAAATAGCAGCTTTTGTTACTGTGACTTACCATAACTGAACTTTCTTTCCACTTCAAAAGAGTCTCCATTCATGATTATTTTTATCCAAGTTCCTTCGATAACCTTAAGGCCATATGATCATACAATCATAATTATTCATTTCATTCTGTTTATTCCAGCAAACATACTCTACATTTTGACAATGGCAAAATAAGTTCTGAGTTGAAAACTAAACAGGTTCTCTACACAGTTCATCTGGAAGATGATATCCTGAAGGGGAGCATCTTCAAGTACTTCAGTTATTTTTATAAGGAGGATGGTGACCAAATGTGCTTCATCACCTCTAAGGAATGATCAAGAGGAATGAACAAACCGTGTCTCTAAGGAATAAAGGTGGATATGAATGTATATAGAAGATAGACACTATAAGTTAATGGAATAACAAATAGAATTACAGTAGCATTGGTATTAATTCTTCTAAGGATTCCAAAATCCATATCAAAGCTCCTGTAGGGAGGGTTGTCTCATCTTCAAGTTCAAGATAGGCTATTCATAGGATCATTCAACGAGACGGACCTTTCTGTAAACAAAGTTCACCAAGCTTCTAATATTTTATTCAAATTTCAATCGACTCTTGAGAAGTTAGAACATAGTTGCAAATCCAAAACAGATACTGGACATAAGTACCTGACTTACATATTGAAATGTTTATTGGAAACTAGATATGATCAGTTCAACTAATGTATTCATTGGCTGGTCCTACACAGTGGTGTTTAAAATGTCAGGTCAAATCAGTTCAAGAGCCGGTTCTTCCAGATGTTTGGTGTTTTGAACACAAAACATCTGGATGATGGGCTAAATGTTTTTTATTATTAAATCAATTTAATATTTGGCATCACGTAGACACAGCCTAAAGTAATTATCTTCTATGTAAAATGTAAATAGCAAGCTCAACAAGCTTAATCAAGAATTCTTGATATGGAGTAAATTTTAGAAACTTTCTAGTTTAATCTCTTTATTTTCTGGGTAAGGAAACTGAGTCCTAGAAAAATGAAATGAGTTAGCCAACATCAAATTACTTTTTGGAGTCTCCAGCTCTTATTTTAATATTCTTTATGTCATAGTTGTGTGTATAACATTGACAGAAGAGGGCAGAGGATTAGTGAAGAAAAATAGCCCTCCCCAAAAGAAACTGATTAAATAGTCTGACAAGGATAAGATAAACATGGAGAGAATAGAGATCAAATGAATGAGTTGAAAGAATGGAGAAAATAAGAAAGAAAATGCCGTGGTAAGAGGAATAACAAAAAAACAGGCTACCTGAAATTAATTGTTATATTAAGAGTCTCCACTTCATAACTTAAATGGATGTCCTCAGTTAAAACATGGAATGGTAAACAGGGCAATAAAGGCACTGGAATTCCAACAGAGGAATTTCTAACTCATTTAGTTTAAGTAAGTTCAATATTTCTTTAATGTCATGTAGAAACAACCCAAAATCTATTTGCCATGTTAGAATGTGGACATGAGCAACTCAGTAAAAAATTGTTTTATTTATCCACACATTTCTCTACTTGGTGCCAAGCAACACATTGCCCACAAATTTAGATAAAAGTGAACACTGTAATAAAATCATTGAGTCTCATAGCCAGTGATTTAAAAAGCAAGCTTTGGAGTCAGAATGCCTGGGTGGAAATCCTGGCTCTACAACTTTCACAAATGATATAACCATTCTCTGCATTTTTATTTTTTATTTTTTTATCTGTAAAGATGGGAATAATAAGAGTACCCTAACCAGATTATTGCGAAGAATAAATGAAAATAACATGTAATTAATTTGGGACCATCTTAAAAAAGTGATGTTAGCCATGTGTTATTATTAGTAATTATTATTTTATTTCACATATGGATAAAGAACTAACTGTTGTGTAGCAGTAGATCCAAATTTATTTAAAGTCATATCATCACATCGTACATCTCCCTAAATTAATATATTGAGGACATAATTTATGCACAATACCACTCAGATACACAGAACATCTTTAGCATTTTCCTTTGGCCAAAAATAGATATTGTCTTCCTCACGTGTTGGTAAAGAAGAGGTAAACAAAACTATCTAATTTTTAGTTCTATTGGCAAACTCAGTCTGATTATTTTAAATGGTTTCCTTCATACTCCCATCCCCAACTCTGCTCTTCCTTAAGACAAAATTTTGATATGGGAGCAAGAGACTTATGTAAACTTTTGGCATTGACGGAGGGGGGATCCTCAGATCTTCATTATGTCCTCTGGATCTTCTGGATTCTAAATGGCTCTGGCTTGCCTGACATTTGCTTGAACAAGTCAATGTCTGCTGTGAATTGTGTTTTGATCTCTCTTGTCTTAGCCCGGGACACATAGTCCTCCCGAGCTGAGTGAGCTTTACTTCAGCTTTTCCAGCCTGCAGAACTTGTTAAACCTGGCTGTGACTCCCATTTGACTTTGATTCAGATGATTCCCTTCTTGACTTCTGTCCCTCACTCTGCTGAAGGTCTCCTCTTGCGATCTGCCCTTCCGGACTATCATCTGCTTCTTGCTCCCATTCATTCCATTCAGGAAGGCTAAATATCAGAGACTTTTCTGTCTGACCACACAAATCACTACTAAGTTTAATTTTTGGCCTGGCTGCAGCTGTGCGGGAAGCCATTTTACTGTGAAGCGGGAGCCCAGCAAAAGCCTTCTACCTTTCGTTTTCCCTTACCTTGATATTTGTAAACATTTCACCCACCGTCAACCCTAGGGTCACCAAGAAAGAAGGAGAAACAAAATAAGAACTTCACATCTACTGTCTTTCTTCTTGTTCTCATTCTTTCCCCAGGATTCCTTAGGGCTGGTAGAAAATATATTTCCCTCATTTCTCTTACTTTCTGAACCTTCCTTATATATAATTCTGTGAGATAATCAAACAAGTCTTACTCTTGAGAGGTATAAGGTCGGGGAGGCATAGATGAAGGAGGAATTTAGAAAATCCTTTCTCTGCCAACAATGCTTTACTGCAAAATTCTTTTAATGTAAGAAACAAAAAACACTATCTTAGAGCATTCTTGCTCTAAGAATCTTATCTGTTTCAAGGGATAAGGTTAGGTACAATCAATATATAAAAGAGAAGAACATTAATATTTTTAAAAATATCCTCCCTTGCACTGGAAAATTTACATGTGGAAATTTGTCAGTTTATCTATACTTGAAATCCATACAGTCATTACTCATTTCTAGGAACATAGAATTCTGGAAAACAGCTGCTTGCATTTAGGGTCAGTTCCATTTCCAAGATGATCTCTATTCTTTATACTTCTGAATAGAATATATCTACATTTAATGATACTCACCTTGAGGCCAGCTGCTCTGATAATATAATTTTTAAATCATTGAAACAGATGAATAAAAATTATATGTACTTATTATATTTTTTTTATTATTTTTATTTATTTATTTTTTTGAGACAGAGTCTCACTCTGTCAGCCAGGCTCCTGAGTAGCTGGGATTACAGGTGCGCACCATCACACCTGGCTAATTTTTTATGTTTTTGATAGAGGTGAGGTTTCACCATGTTGGCCAGGCTGGTCTCGAACTCCTGACCTCAAATAATACTCCCACCTTGGCCTCCCAAAGTGCTGGGGTTATAGGCGTGAGCCACCATGCCTGGCCATTATTATATAGTTTTCTAAATGGCATAAAAAACAAGTGGGGAAAAGTGAGTCTCGTTCAATTAAGAACCCAGTGAAAAGACTGGTTGCAGAGCACTCCACATGTGGTTATGCTTTATGAATTTGTGCTAGTTGATGGAATGAATAAGCCATTGATTATATTTTTTACTATATGGTGTTTCTTTTATATAGCTGAATGCTTCATGAAAGATTTGTCAAATTCACAACTGGAAATACTGTAATTTAAATGATTAATTGTGAATTTATTTTAGGGGTAAAACAAATTTGTAAAATAAAAAAATTAAAAAATATATTTTGGATAATTATTTTGCCCAGTATGCATCCATAGTAATTAGAGAATGGATATATATATGCATGTATACATATATACATATGTAGGTACAATGTATACATAGATGAAGTGGGGGAGAAGATATTCTAAAATTTGTAATATATATATTTATACTCATTATTTGAAATATATATACATAACACAAATCTAAACTCAAACTCTAAATAAATATTTCATAACTATTTATAAATATTTATTTAATTTCAAAGTAGAAGGAACTTTACATGTGCTGAGGGGAAGTAGAGTAAAAGCATACTGTGAATTGAAGAGGGTAGCAGAGCTAAGAAGTTTCCTGTAGTAGTGGGTTTTAAAACTTGTCCCGAAAGAGATGACGAGCATGAATTAGCAGAAAAGTGAGATAAGAGATTTTTGAAGGAAGAAATATAATTAGCAATCAATGATAGCTAACTTTCAGATGGAGCTCCTTAACTTAAATATAAGTAACCACACACAATGAGACCCTGAATAGGAATCATGGCCTCTTTGGGAGATAGATAGCCTGTGGCTTGTGCAGAGCAGAAAAGAAATGAGTTAATTTAATTCTGTGACTATTTATTGAACACCTATGATATGGTGGTCACTAAGTTCTGTAAGTGAATTGGAAAAATGTGAACAGTGGTTTCATGAAGCTTAATAGGCAGTGGCCATAGCTACTACTTACAGAATTACACATTTTTATACATTATTAATAAAGGAAAATAAATAGGGTTCACTAATAGAGAATAAATGGGGTGTGGGCAACACATCCACCTAAACATAACAATGAGAGCAGGCTGGTTTGAGAAGGCATAGTTATGCTGCATCCTAAAACGATAAGATGTCAAGTATTACACAGTATCTCTCAGATGATACATGCAGTCTTATTCCCAGGCTCCAAAATGTATAAGGAAGGGGTCTTGCCATCAAAAATTTCCATCTACTGTGGGGGAATATAGAAGTAAAACATATGGTAAAATGTTCTTATCTAATGTGATCATAACTTGTAGTTAGTTGCTCAATTGAAGCAAGTGGGTTAAGGCAGAAAAATCACTAATAATACTGTTAGTGTACATTAAACAATGTATGTTCATGTAAAGCATGTGAACCCACAGTAATTATTTAGTCTTTTCACCTAGGGGCAAGACATTTTCTTTTATTATAGATACCTGATTTTGAACTCTGCCTCATCTGTCTTATATAGATCACATCCATAATACAATATTTATGATTTCTAGTTTGAATTTTTTTAAATTGAGTAAGAATATAAAAACTAATATAAAGAAATCTAAGTGTAGAATTCCTCTAAATTTTTATGATTATTTTCTCAGAGTTTACATTTGTTTCATCACACTTTATAACACAGATGTATTTTTGTATCCATCATAAAATAGTGAACATAATTTTTAGAGAAATAATTTTTACAATCATATTTTACCAGTTTTTGCAATATTTGCTAAAGTGAATAAGTACAATACCAGGTACAACTGTCATATATTGTTTTGGAACAAATATATCCAATTTATGTTCAGCCTACAAGTGAGCTTTGAAAGCAAAGGCATCTGGCTGTAGTGAAAATTGACCTATTAGCCTCAAGCTGTTCACTTTTACAGAGGGCCTGAAGGCCAGGCTCATTCATGCAGCAAATTAAGTGGAGGCTGGACAAGACTATTTCTATGCTATTTCAACGTAACATGAAAATGCCAAAATTGAGATGAGTTGAACAAACAAACAGACAAACAAGGCAGCAGAATATAAGAAAATGAGGGAATTAGTTGGAAAATATAATACCTAAGTTGGAGTGATTTTGATAAGACATAAAGCATGTTACTGTGTATTTATGTTCTTAAAGTTAGGTTATTCTAGTAGCCAGGTATAAACTTGATTAGATAAGACAGAATGGCAATACGCGTATCAGAAAACAGACATTCATTGAGAAATTATGAAGAATTTTAAATTGCTAGCTTTTAGCAAATTTTTACTGTTATGGTACCTCAGGTAGAATTTAGTCTTTTTTTAACCACCCTTTTACTCTAATTGCTAATTACTTTATTGTTGATTGGTACATACTTTGTTTTAAAGGGAACGTACACATATGGTCATTGCTTTTTTCTTCCTTTTATCATGTTTTGTCTTATCACAGCCCTTTGATTTCAAACACACATCAAACGAAATATAAATTAGTTTATTCTTTTTGAACCATCACTCAGAGTTATCAGTTGTCTCATGCTTTTTGCTCCAAAGTTTTTCTTTTTTTTTTCTCTGCTTCACTTGTATTGCACCCATGTTAGTTCCAACCAAAAGAAGTTCAGATTTTTCAACTCAAAAATGATTGGGGGCAGGAGCATTCTGGCAATTAGAATCTATCTTTGGCTAAATCCTGATTTGGGGAAGTGTTTCTTACTGATAAGCGTAGCCCAAATTGATACAGTATTAGTTATCCCTGAAGTGGGTCTCGACATGTGCTTTATGGATATAACATACTGTTGGAGAGATTTGCTTAGTTCACAGCACCGTTCTAATATTTGAAAGACACATTTGTAAAAAGAAAAAAGCAGTATTGAATAATCTACATGTGTTTTCAGAGAGTGAGGATAAGAAACTTAAAGATTTACAGTATTTGGCTTTTTTCCCATGTTACTTTGGTTGTCTATATTTCATGGACATCTTCCTTTCACTTAAGAATACAGGTAAAGTTGATGTGGAAGAGAAAGAAAGGAGTGAATTTTTCATAATATAAATGAACAGTTTAAAAAATGGTTCTATTTAGTACATTGTCAGAATATCCACCCCATTTTCATTAGCATTATCATAATAAACAACGTCAAATAATAATAATAATAAGTTTAATTAGTGACTAAGTTGCAATTGAATAGTAACATGATTCCATTTTCTTCCTGTGAGCTGTAGATGTAACAAATCATTACTTGTGGCTTCAGCAAGTTCCTTGACCACTTTGCCTCCATCTGCTCATCTATAAAATGGAGATAACAATAGTACATAGCTCAAAGGGGATTTTTTTTGTTTTTTTTTGTGTGTTTTTTTTTAATAAAGCTTAAAGAATTAAACAGTACCTGGAATATACTAAATACGACAAGCATTTATTATTATTATTGTTATTAATTAGTCTCTGATTTATATGAACATTGACTCCTTGGACACTGTTTATGATTGTTTTCACTTTGGTTTACTAATGATCCAAGAAATAAGCTGAACAACCTACACTTGAGACATACACCATATCAACGATACAAGTGGGTACCTCAGCTCCTTGTTTTATCTTTTGTGGTTCATAGAAGAACACCTAATGTGTATTGATTTTAAATTTTAAACCATGAGATGTGAGAAATCTTCCACATGAGAGGACTCTAGTCTATTGGACTGTGTATTTTATGAGTGATGTAGAAAGGGCCATGTGGCAATTTCTCCTTGTAGCATACAGGGAATTTCCTGCTCAACGAAAGTTACATACTTTCATGATGTATTTCTTATTTCATCATTGGGCCTGGACATTTTCTACCACAATAACCAAGAGATGTGACTCAATCCCCCCTTTACTGAGCACTTCCTGGCAGAGGTAACTCATTTGTGTATGGCCTGAACAGATGCAACATGACTGTAGAGGACTGAATGAGTTGACTCCTACAATTTTGACAGCCTCCTTTGGCTGTGGCCATATCTCTCTGTATAACTTGCCCTGAAATATGAAGGTGAGTATTATGCTTGAATTATGAAAATCTTTTGGAGAGATAGAAGTACCAGAGATGAGAAAATTCAAGGTCTAGATACTTTCTTGCTTGCTTGTTTTCTTGGGCATTCAGAGACTATTTATAGGACTTAAAGCTTGGAAAATGCTCAATATATACTCAAAAACCTTTCTGTAACCTACTTTTCACCTCTCAAATTCCAGTAGTTGTCTTACTTCCAGTTCAGATGTTGGAAGCTGCAAAATATCATCATTTCACCCTTTCAACCCAAACATTGGAAAAGCTACATAATCATAGATTAAAAAAAATATATATCAGGGAGCAAAGAATGCAAAGCAACCTAAATAAACTAAAATCCAGCAAGTGACAAGCTCTTCCTAAGAAAGAAGGGCCAAGGAGACCTCTTATAACTGACATGAAAGGAGAAGGAGCAATCCTCCATAGGTGGGAGCAGGGGAAACCAGCCCAACCTGACATTTCTAATGACTGCGTGTGGGCTGGCATGACACGTCAAATTCCACTGGAGCCCCAGACACAGAACAAAACTGTGCTACTGCCAATTCTTTCCCTCTGATCTTTACTGAGTGCTGAAAATAGAGATGGGGAAAAATTGAGAGAAACTTCCAGAAGTTACAGAACATTGGAGGAGGGGTAAGAGAGCTGAGAGAGCCACACTCTTCCCCTGGCACTCCATGCTTAACTCAGAAGTCAAGATGAGGTGGAAGAACTGAGTGAAACCCCTCCAAGACAATCTCTGCCTTCAGAGTGGAGAGAATCTTTGGCTGACTTCTAAAGGACAAGGGCAAGGCAGAAGAGAAAAGAGAGATTTCCTAAGATGAGAGACAGCACTGGAGAGCAAAGAGAATTCTTTAATAACACAAAAGTTCTGCTGTGGGAGTAAAGCAAGGAGAAATCTCTCACGGTTTAGAAAGCTGGCTATTTAGCTATGAGGAGCAAGCAGAACTTTGGAATCTCATCAATGATTGAAGACCCTAGTGAAGACCAAGTCCCAGTACCGCCCTCAAACATTTGAATCCATAGTGAACTTACAAAAACTAAAGCTGCAGCTAAACCCGCACCCAGCTCAACTGAAAGCATACTGACTCGTCTTTCACTCTAGAGGCCTGACAAGAGGGGCAGGCTCCTTTGTGGAGACGAATGTGAATTTACTTCATTTTCTATTGTATTTTCTAACAGCTTTATTGAGATTTAATTTATATACCATACAAATTACCCATTTAAATTGTTATAGTTCAATGGCTTTTAACTTATTAACAGAACTATACAACCATCATCACAATCAGTTTTAGAAGATTTTTATCACATTAAAAAGAAACTCAATACTACTTTTTTTATCATCCTCTTCCCCCACCCCACATTACTTAAGCAAACACTAATATACTTTCTGTCTCTATTGATTTTCCTACTATAGATATTTAATATGACTGAAATCATAATATGTCTTTTGTGACTGGCTTCTTTCACTTAGAATAATGTTTTCAAGGTTCATTCCTATTGTAGTATGCAGCAGTACCTCCTTACTTTTCATAATACTGGTGAACATACCCCATTTGTGTGGGTATCCCTCATTTATTTATCCATTTATCCATTGAGGTAAATTTGAGTTGTTTGTTTATTAAGAATAATACCTCTATAAGTATCTATGTACAGGTTTTGGTTTGGACATATATTTTCATTTCTTTGGGTATTTACCTAGGAGAAAAATTGCTATGTCATACGGTAACTCTCTATTTATTCATTTGAGGAATTGTCAAACTATTTTCCAAAATGATTACACCATTTTACAATCCCTCCAACGGTGTATAGATATATAATTTCTCAACATCCTCTCCAACATTTGTTATTATCTTTTCTTTTTTTTCTTATTTTTTTTTCCTTTTCTAAAAAATTTTACTTTAAGTTCTGGGATACATGTGCAGAACATGCAGGTTCTTTGCATAGGTATACACGTGCCATGGTGGTTTCCTGCACCAATTGACCTATTCTCTAAGTACCCTCCCCTCACCCCCAACCCCTCAATGGGCCCTGTTGTGTGTGTTACTCCCCTCCCTGTGTCCATGTGTTCTCATTGTTCAACTCCCACTTCTGAGTGAGAACATGTGGTGTTTGGTTTTCTGCTCCTTTGTTAGTTTGCTGAGGACGGTGGCTCCAGCTTCATCTATGTCCCTGCAAAGGACATTATCTCATTCCTTTTTACAGCTGCATAGCATTCCATGGTATATATGTACCACATTTTCGTTATCCAATCTATCATTGATGGACATTTAGGTTGGTTCCATGTCTTTGCTATTGTAAATAGTGCTGCAATAAACATATGTGTGCAAGTGTCTTTATAGTATAATGATTTATATTCCTTTGATATATATCTAGTAATGGGATTGCTGGGTCAAACTGTATTTCTGGTTCTAAATCCTTGACAAATCGCCATACTGTCTTCCACCATGGTTGAACTAATTTACATTCCCACTAACAGTATAAAAGCATTCCTATCTCTCCACAGCCTCTCCAGTATCTATTCTTCTTAATAATTGCCAGTCTGACTGGTGTGAGATGGTATCTCATTGCAGTTTTGATTTGCATTTCTCTAATGATAAGTGATGTTGAACTTTTTATCATATGTTTCTTAGCTGCATAAATATCTTCTTTTGAGAAGTGCCTGTTCATATCCTTTGCCCACTTTTTGATGGGGTTTTTTTTTTTTCTTGTAAAGTTGTTTAAGTTCCTTTTAGATTCTGAATATTAGCCCTTTGTCAGATGCATAGATTGCAAACATTTTCTCCCATTCTGTAGGATGCCTATTTACTCTGATGATAGTTTCTTTTGCTGTGCAGAAGTTCTTTAGTTTATTTAGATCCCATTTGTCAATTTTGGCTTTTGTTGCAATTGCTTTTGGTGTTTGCTCTATGAAGTCTTTGCCCATGCCTATGTCCTGAATGGTATTGCCTAGCTTTTCTTCTACAGTTTTTTATGGTTTTGAGTTTTACATTTAAGTCTTTAATCCCTCTTGAGTTAATTTTTGTATAAGGTGTAAGGAGGGTGTCCAGTTTCAGTTTTCTGCATACGGCTAGCCAGTTTTCCCAGCACCATTTATTGAATAGGGGATTCTTTCCCCATTGCTTGTTTTTGTCAGGTTTGTCAAAGATCAGATGGTTGTAGATGTGTAACATTAATTCTGAGGTCTCTGTTCTGTTCTCTTGCTCTATACGTCTGTTTTGGTACCAGTGCCATGCTGTTTTGATTACTGTAGTCTTGTAGTATAGTTTGAGGTCAGGTTGCATGATGCCTCCAGCTTTTGTTCTTTTTGCTTAGGATTGTCTTGGCTTGGGATCTTCTTTGGATCTGTATGAAATTTAAAGAAGTTTTTTTCTAAATCTGTGAAGAATATCAATGGTAGTTTGATGGGAGTAACATTGAATCTATAAATTACTTTGGGCAGTATGGCAATTTTCATGATACTGATTCTTCCTACTTATGAGGTTGGAATTTTTCAATTTGTTTGTGTCCTCTCTTTATTTCCTTGAGCAGTGGTTTGTAGTTCTACTTGAAGAGGTCCTTCACATCCCTTGTTAGCTGTATTCCCAGGTATTTTATTCTCTTTTTAGCAATTGTGAATGGGAATTTATTCATGATTTGACTCTCTGCCTATCTATTGTTAGTGTAAAGCAATGCTTGTGATTTTTGGATATTGATTTTGTATCCTGAGACTCTTCTGAAGGTCCTTATCAGCTTAAGGAATTTTTGGACTGAGGCAATGGGGTTTTCTATATATAGAATCATGTTGTCTGCAAACAGAGACAATTTGACTTCCTCTCTTCCTATTTGAATACACTTTATTTCTTTTTCTTGCCTGATTGCCCTGGCCAGAACTTCCAATACTATGTTGAATAGGAGTGGTGAGAGAGGGTATCCTTGTCTTGTACCAGTTTTCAAAGGGAATGCTTCCAGCTTTTGCCCATTCGATGTTATTGGCTGTGGGTTTGTCATCAATAACTCTTATTATTTTGAAATATGTTCCATCAATGCCTAATTTATTGAGTGTTTTTAACATGAAGGGATGTTGAACTTTATCAAAAGCCTTTTCTGCATCTATTGAGATAATCATGTGGTTTTTGTCTTTGGTTCTGTTTATGTGATGGATTACATTTATTGGTTTGCATATGTTGAACCAGCCTTTCATCCCAGGGGTGAAGCCAACTTGATTGCGGTAGATAAGTGTTTTGATGTGCTGCTGGATTCGATTTGCTGGTATTTTATTGATGATTTTCACATCTATGTTCATCAGGGATATTGGCCTGAAGTTTTTTGCTGTTGTTGTGTCACTGCCAAGTTTTGGTATCAGGATGATGCTGACTTCATAAAATGAGTTAGGGAGGAGTCTCTCCTTTTCAGCTGTTTGGAATAGTTTCAGAAGGAATGTTGCCATCTCCTCTTTATACCTCTGGTAGAATTCAGCTGTGAATCCCTCTGGTCCTGGGCTTTTTTTTTTTTTTTTTTTTTTTTGGTTTTTGGGCATTTAATTATTGCCTCAATTTCAGAACTCATTATTAGTATATTCAGTGTTTTGACTTCTTCCTGGTTTAGTCTTGGGAGGATGTATATGACCAGGAATATATCAATTTCTTTTAGATTTTCTAGTTTATTTGAGTAGAGGCATTTATAGCATTCTTTGACAGTAGTTTGTATTTCTGCAGAGTCAGTGATGATATCCCCTTTATCATTTTTTATTGTGTCTATTTAATTCTTCTCTCTTTTCTTCTTTATTACTCTGGCTAGCGGTCTATCTATTTTGTTAACTTTTTTTCAAAAAAACAGCTCCTGGATTCATTGATTTTTTGGAGGGTTTTTCATGTCTCTGTCTCTGTTAATTCTGTTCTGATCTTAGTTATTTCTTGTCTTCTGCTAGCTTTTGGATTTGTTTGCTCTCACTTCTCTAGCTCTTTTAATTGTCATTTTAGGGAGTCAATTTCAGATCTTTCTAGCTTTCTCATGTGGGCATTTAGTGCCGTAAATTTCCCTCTTAACACTGCTTTAGCTGTGTCCCAGAGATTTTGGTACATTGCCTCTTTGTTCTCATTGGTTTTAAATAACTTCTTGATTTCTGCCTTAATTTCATTATTTACCTAGGAGTCATTCAAGAGCAGGTTTTTCAATTTCCATGCAATTGTGTGTTTTTGAATGAGTTTCTTAATTCTGAGTTCTAATTTGATTGTGCTGTGTTCTGAGAGACTGTTATAATTTCAATTCTTTTGCATTTTCTGAGGAGTGTTTTACTTCCGATTATATGGTCAATTTTAGAATAAGTGCCATGTGGCACTGAGAAGAACGTATACTCTGTTGATTTGGGGTAGAGAGTTCTGTAGATGTCTATTAGGTCCACTTGATCCAGAGCTGTGATCAAGTCCTGAATATCCTTGTTAATTTTCTGTCTCATTGATCTGTCTAATATTAACTGTGGGGTGTTAAAGTCTCCCACTATTATTGTGTGGGAGTCTAAGTCTCCTTGTAGGTCTCTAAGAACTTGTTTAATGAATCTGGGTGCTCCTGTATGGGGTGCATATATATTTACATCAGTTAGCTCTTCTTGTTAAATTGATCCCTTTGCCACTATGTAATGGCCTTCTTTGTCTTTTTTGATCTTTGTTGGTTTAAAGTCTGTTTTGTCAGAGACTAGAATTGCAACCCCTGCTTTTTTAACTTTCCATTTGCTTTGTAAATTTTCCCTCTATCCATTTATTTTGAGCCTATTTGTGTCTTTGCACATGAGATGGGTCTCCTGAATACAGCATACCAATGGGTCTCAGCTCTTTATCCAATTTGCCAGTCTGTGTCTTTTAATGGGGGCATTTAGCCCATTTATATTTATGGTTACTATTGTTATGTGTGAAAGAGATCCTGTCCTCATGATGCTGTCTGGTTATTTTGCACACTAGTTGATGCAGTTTCTTCATAGTGTCATTGGTCTCTATATTTTGGTGTGTTTTTTCAGTGACTGGTACTGGTTTTTCCTTTGCATATTTAGTGCTTCCTTCAGGAGCTCTTGCAAGGCAGTTCTGATGATAATGAAATACACCAGCATTTGCTTGTCTGGGAAGGATTTTATTTCTCCTTCACTTTTGAAGCTTAGTTTGGCTGAATATGAAATTCTGGGTTGAAAATTCTTTCTTTAAGAATGTTGAATATTGGCCCCCAATCTCTTGGGGCTTGTAGGGTTTCTGCTGAAAGCCTGCTGTTAGTCTGATGGGCTTCCCTTTGCAGAAGACCTGGCCTTTCTCTCTGGCTGCCCTTAACATTTTTTCCTTCATTTCAACCTTGGAGAATCTGATGATTGTGTGTCTTGGGGTTCATCTTCTCATGCAGTATCTTAGTGGTGTTCTCTGTATTACCTGAATCTGCATGTTGGCTGGTCTTGCTAGGTAGGGGCAATTCTCTTGGATAATATCCTGAAGTGTGTTTTCCAGCTTGTTTCCATTCTCCCTGTCTCCTTCAGATACTCCAATCAATAGTACCTTTGGTCTTTTTACGTAGTCCCACATTTCTTGAAGATTTTGTTTGTTCCCTTTCATTCTTTTGTCTCTAATCTTGTCTGCATGCCTTATTTCAGCAAGGTGGTCTTCAAACTTTGATATCCTTTCTACTGCTTGATCAATTCAGCTACTGATACTTATGTATGCTTCACAAAGTTCTCATGCTGTGTTTTTCAGCTCCATCAGGTCATTTATATTCCTCTCTAAACTGGTTATTCTAGTTAGCAGCTCCTCTAACCTTTTTTCAAGTTTCTTAGCTTCTTTGCATTGGGTTAGTACATGCTCCTTTAGCTAAGCAGAGTTTTTTTATTACTCATCTTCTGAAGCCTGCTTCTGTCAATTTGTCCATCTCATCCTCCATCCAGGCAGTGCAATCATTTGGAGGAGAAGAGGCACTCTGCCATTTGGGGTTTTCAGCATTTTTTGTTGATTCTTTTTCATCTTCATGAGTTTGTTTAGTTTTGATCTTTAAGGCTGTTGATGCTCGGATCGGGTTTTCGTGGGGACTTTTTGTTGTTGTTAATGCTGTTGTTGTTGTCTGTTTGTTTTTCTTTCAGTGGTCAGGTCCCTTTACCATAGAGCTGCTGCAGTTTGCTGGGGGTTCACTTCAGGCCCTGTTCATCTGGTTCACACCTACACCTGGAGATGTCACTCAAGGGGGCTGGAGAACAGCAAAGATGGGTGCTTGCTCCTTCTTTTGGGATCTCTGGCCTTGAGGGGCACCAACCTGATGCCAGTAGGATCGCTCCTGTATAGGGTGTCTGACAACCCCGTTGGTCTCACTCAGCTGGGTGGCACAGAGAAGAGGATCCATTTAACAAAGCACTTTGACTGTCCCTGGGTGGAGGGGGTGTACTTCACTGGGGGGAACTCACTCATCTGGATTGCCTGGATTCCTCAGAACTACCAGCAGGAAAGTCTAAGTCAGCTGGCCCAGAGAGACTGTAGCCACCCCTCCCCCTAAGGGCTCAGGCCCAGGGAGATCAGGGTTCTGTCCTTGAGCTACTGGCTGCAGTTGCTGGAGTTCATGCAAGGAGGCCCCACTCAGTGAAGAGGAATGGGTTAGGGTCAGGCCTGAAGAGACAATCTGGCTGCAGTCTGCCACAGCCAGCATGTGGGGCTGTGGGGGACACCTTTTGGGACCAAGCCATGCAGCCTCCCTGAATTCAACAGGGGAAAAGCACCGCCTGGAGCTGTAGAGATGGCTGCCACCCTTTCCTGGACCAGGTCGCTTAGGGTCTTAGGCAGCTCTCTGTTCCAGAACTGCCTGCTGCTCCTCCCTCAAGGAGCTCAAAGGACTTAGACAGCAGGCAGTCACATCTATGGTGCTGGTCACTCCTCCCACCCAGAAACTCAGCAGTCTTAAGCAGATTCTAGTTGAGAGGCTGTTTGGAATCTGTGCATCTCGGGTTGGGACCCTAGGCCCCAGTGGCGTAGGTTCATGAGTGGAATCTTCTGATCCCTGGGTTGCACAGTTCCATGGTAAAAGCACTATTTCCCTGGCTAGGTAGCACTCCCACTCACCATCTCCCTGGGTTGGGGGGTGGGGGCTTCCCTGCCCTGTGTGGCTCTCAGGTGGCTGCACCACACTGGTATTCCTTCTTCTCCATGGGTCACACCACCCACCTAGTCAGTTCTGATGAGAGAACCTGGATACCTTGGTTGATGGTGCAGTATTTACATACTATTATGGTTCTTTTCTATGGGGACCTCTGATCACTGCTGCTTCTAGTCAACCATCTTGGCCCCACCCTTATCTGACTTTCTTATTCTACCAATTCTAGTAGTTATGAAGCGATATCTACTGTGGTTTTGATATGCATTTTCCTGATGACTAATTATTGAGCATTTTTTTCACATGTGCTTGATGGCTATTTGTATATCTTCTTTGTAGAAATATATTTTGAGGTCCTTTGCCCTTTAAATTGGGTTGTCTTTTTTTATTAAGTTGAAATATTTCTTAATCTATTTCAGACACAAGTCTCTTATCAGATGTATGATTTACAAATATTTTATCATATTTTGGGGTTTGTCTTTTAACTTTCTGGATAGTGTCCTTTGAAGCACAGAAGTTTTTAATTTTGCTGAAGTCCAAATTATCAGTTTTTTCTTTGTTCCTCATGCTTTGGTGTCATAGTAAAAAAATCTTTGCTAAATCCAAGATCATGAAGATTTATCTATAATTTTATCTTATGAGTTTTATAGTTTAACTTTTATAGTTAGGTCTTTGATCAATTATGAGTTAATTTTTATGTGGTATGAGATAAGGTTCAAACTTCATTCTTTTGAATTTACCTGCATAGTTGTCTAAGCACAATTTTTTGTTGATTATTTTCCCATTGGTTTGTCTCAGCATCCATGTCATAAATTAGTTGACCATAGATATATGGATTAATTTCTGAGCTGTCAGTTCTGTTCCATTAACTTTATACTTAAGCTAGTACCACACAGTCCTGAAGAGTGTTTCTTTGTATTCGGTTTTGAATTCAGGAAGTGTGAGTTTTCTTTCTTTGCTCTTTATCAAGTTGGTTTTGAGTATTCTGAGCTTCTGGCAATTCTACATGGATTTAAAAATCAGCTTCTCAGTTCCTACAGATAATTTAGCTGGGATTCTCATAGGGATAGCATTGAATCTGTATATCAGTTTGGGAAAATACTGGACATCCTAACAATCTAATAACTTCAGTACAGAAACCTGGGATTTATTCTATTAATTTAGATATTTAATTTCTTTCAATAATGTGTTTCAGTTTTCAGAGTATAAGTTTGGTACTTCTTTGTAAAAATTTAGTCCTAAAAATTTTATTATTTTTGAAGCTATTATAATGGAATTATTTTCTTAATTTCATTTTTGAATTGTTCATTACAAATTTTTAGAAATAAAATTAATTTTAAAAATATTTGTCTAATATCCCATAAACTTGTGCTTATTAGTTATAATGGCTTTTTGGTTGGTTCCTAAGGATATTTTATATACAAGATAATGTCATCTGTGAATAGAAATAGTTCTGCTTCTTCTTTTGCAATCTGGATGCCTTTTGTTTCTTTATCTTGCCTAATTGCTCTAGAATCTGCAGTACAATGTTAAATAGAAGTGATATGAACAGAAATCCTTGTTTCTGATCTTATAGTGAAAGCATTCAGTCTTTTATCATCAGGGTGATGTTAGTTGTGGGTTTTTGATAGACGCCCTTTATCAGATTGAGGAAGTTTCTCTCTATTCCATGTTGTTGAGTGTTTATATCATAAAAGGGTATTGCATTTTGTCAAACGTTTTTTCTCCATCTGTTGAGATGATCATGTGATTTTTGTTTTTTATTTCATAGATAGGATTATATTAATTGATTTTTGGATATTAAACCAACCTTGAATTCCTGGGATAGATTCCACTTAATTATGGTGTATAATTCTTTTCATATGTTGCTGGATTCAGTTTGAGAGTATTTTGTAAAGGACTTTTCTTCATCACTATTAATTATAGATACTGGTTTTTAGTTTTCTTTTTCTATGATGTTTTTGTCTTGTTTTGATGTCAGAGTAATACTAGCC
The DNA here is from genome assembly GCF_000001405.40 of Homo sapiens. Taxonomy (NCBI): domain Eukaryota; kingdom Metazoa; phylum Chordata; class Mammalia; order Primates; family Hominidae; genus Homo; species Homo sapiens. Next base: position 188,860,196 of record NC_000002.12, on the reverse strand, counting down.
TCATAAATTGAGTTTGGAAGTGTTACCTACTCTCTTATTTTACATTTTATTTTTATATAAAAATATCTGGTCCACTACAAAAAATCAGTAGAGATGTGAATGTGGAAGAAAATATGATCTATGGTAAAAAAGAATCAAGCAAGAAAATAGTTAAGAAAGATGACAGAGACTGCCCAGATATTGGAATATCAGTCAGATACTTTAAGATAACAATGAACTTATAAGTGAAACCAAATTTAGGGGTTAGAAGATAACTTTTATGGTATGCTAAAACTCAGAGTATGAATCATGAAGGGTCTCCTTAGTGAAACTTTATTTTTTAATTTTTTTGAGAATGACTTTGTATATTTTCTAAGCACATTTGTTTGTCCAAAGCTTATCTTAGATTATCTGACATTTTTAAATGAAATTTTAGATGTCTACAACTTCATAACCTTATCTAACTCCCTGATGGTATATATTTCTGTTTTTGTCATAATAAATTTGTTAAAATTTTAAGCACAGGTGCAACTAAATCCTGAGAATTAAACTTTGAAGAATTTTTGGAAGTTAAATGGAACTCTGAGGTAATTTGGCTAATAGTAGACATCTCATATACTGCTATGTTGCCCTACCCATTATATAGGCCAGTACAAATTGCTGTTTGTAATATACTTGACTTATGGTAAAAGCTTTAGAAGTTTTATGGAGGAACTCATATAACTGAGTTATAAAAGAGTTAGCTGTCCAAAAATCAAAGTCATCATACATTCCTGCTATACAAACAAAATGAAAATGTGAAATAGTAATTAGCAATACATTTTCCTAGAATCAGGTAACCTTACATGTAAGATCACTGTAAGTCACATATTTAGTGGCCAAATAATTTTCATCTTAGATCTATGGTGCAGGCTTAGACTGCTTAATGCAGTCTGAAGACATATAATGAGCAAATAAGATCATGCCTATGGGAAAGGAAGTCAATCATTAAGAAATCAGGATGGTTAGAACCGGTAAGACAAAGAGTAACCAGGGCTGGGCAGTGGGCTATATAATAGGGAGAATGAACAGGTATAGGAGGACAGAGTTGCTATCTCAGTGAAGGAAAGTGGGAAAACAAAAACGATGCAGGCTACAAAGAGTGAGGGTCTTAGACTGACAAAAAAGAAATTGGGATTCAGGAAAGACATTTTCTTTCATAGGAAGATATCAAAAGTATCAAAAGGGGAACTCGTTTCTGAAAAGCACTGAAAGTAGCCCTATTTGTATTCACTCTGCCCTGGGTCCAGGTGGTAGAAAAGAGTGGGTGAGCTTAGATGAAACAGTGGGGAGAAAAATGGCTGAATAGGATAATTCAGTGCTGGATAGATTAAGGAACAATAGGAGAAGGCACTATGATATGTTTTACATGTATTTAGAAGCTCTGACAACTTAAAAACCTCTTCAAATGTCATCTACCTCTAGTATATTTTGGAAAAGGTTGTGCTATAATATCCACTCTTAATTTAGTTCCGTGCTACATTTCCTAATACGTCTGTCTGTGTCTTACCTTAAGCCTCCCCTCTCTTTGATAACAACACCATGAAATCTCCCAAATCATCAATTCAGTGTTTGTAGTAAAATTTAATGATGGTTTGACATAAATAAAGGTACTATGCTGCAAAGCAATCTAGAAATTCCCTGAAATTTAAATAGATCTAAGTACTTGGACAAAGGAGTTTACCTCCTGCAGCCTCAGTGACTTCATTGTAAAGTGAGATTAAATTTAATGGTCTCAAGTTCCTTTGCATTACTAAGACTTATCTGAATATTTATTATATATCCATTTCACTTTAACAAATGCACAAAGGAAGATCATCTGAAATTTCTAAGAAGTTCCCAGGCTCGAGATATACAACATTTAAAAGAATTATGCCTGCAAAAACAAGGCTTTTCAAAAAATACTAACTATATCCTGACATTGGTAAACTTGGTCTGAACAATCAAGGAATTGACAAGTTTACAGAGAAAAATGTCAAACAACTAGACTGTGTATTAAATCTCTCTTTATCATTCAAAATCACATTCCATAAATCAGAGTTCTCTTACAATGAGAAAAATATTGGTACCATAAAAATACCAGAAATACTTAATTTTATTTAGAAGTACAGCAAAAGCAATGCTAGAAGTTATAAAATATTTAAATATTCATAGATTGACTTAAAAACTAGATAATTGCTTGTCCTCTTACATCTCGGTATGGTCCATTGACCAAAAGAGAGAATTGTGCTCTCCAAAAAACAAACAAAAAGAACAAAAAGAACAAAATTCTTTTCTGTTAAATGCAAGGTTTACTAAATATTTTCCCTTTACAGAAAGAACCTTCTTTACTTCTTCTAGACACGCTTTTTTTCATTTCCTATCCTGAGGGTTGCACACTTAAATGCCTACAGCACCCAGGCCGACCACTGAGATGAGTTCAGCAGGCTGGGTGCATACTGTGGTGAAAGAGGCACCACACACACTGATTAAAAGAGTAGGGGCTACTCACCTCCAGGCTGCTGTCTTGTGGCAGGCATTGGCTAATTGTTCACAAGCCAGTTCTTTTCTTCCCGAGTAACAGCTACAACATATTTCCCAGCCTTCATTGCCATTGAGTGAGGCATATGATTGATTTCTGGTTCATAGAACTGACAAACACCCTATCTAGGCCTGAACCATAAAACTTGCCCATGCATAATTCTCTGTTCTCTTTCTTCTTTACCCTGCTGAATGGAGATATCCAAAGTCCCAGAGGAAGATGCAATGATAAGATAAAATGCGCTTGTGCTTGTCATACATCATTTGGTAGAGAGCCCATATGGAAAAGGCACCAGATGAAGAACACCTTGGTTGAACGTGATATGGTCTGGCTGTGTCCCCACCCAAATCTCCCCTTGAATTGTGATAATCCCCAAGTGTCAAGGGCAGGGCCAAGGGAAAAAAAAATGAATTATGGGGGTGGTTTCCCCCATACTGTTCTCATGGTAGTGAATAAGAGTCATGAGGTCTAATGGTTTCACAAATGGGAGTTCCCCTGCACAAGCTTTCTTATCTGTCACCATGTAAGACGTCCCTTTGCTCTTCCTTCATCTTCCACCATGATTGTGAGGCCTCCCCAGCCATGTGGAACCATGAGTCCATTAAACCATTTTCCTTTATAAATTACTCAGTCTTGGATATGTCTTTGTTAGCAGCATGAGAATGAACTAATACAGAACCATTGCTTTGGAAAATTAAATATATATATTTAAATACTTGTATTCGCTATATAAATATATATAGTTAATACTGAGTGTCAACTTAATTGGACGGAAGGGTACAAAGTATTGATCCTGGGTGTGCCTGTGTGGGTGTTGCCAAAAGAGACATGAACATTTAAGTCAGTGGTCTGTGGAAGGTAGATCCACTCTAATCTGGTGGGCACACAATCTAATCAGCTGCCAGTGAATATAAAGCAGGCAGAAAAAACATGAAAAAGTGAGAAGAGCCTAGCCTCCCAGCCTCCATCTTTCTCTCGTGCTGGATGCTTCCTGTCCTCGAACATCCAAATTCTTCAGTTTTGGGACTTGGGCTGTCTCTCCTTACTCCTCAGCTTGCAGATAGTCTATTGTGAGACCCTGTGATTGCGTAAGTTAATACTTAATAAACTCCCTATTAGTTCTGTCTCTCTAGAGGACCCTGACTAATACAGATTTATATATATATCTGTATTCATATATATATAGTGTCAAGCCACTGAAAATTTGAAGCTGCTTATTATAGAATTTAGCCTAGTCCAATTAATTTATATTGCTACGCAGAAAAAAAGAGCTCATGGTTTCCATCTTAGTTTTTCAAGACAAATCAAGAATCTGAAAGGTGATGTGAAATTTCCCAGATATTAAATATTAACAAAGATTTCAAATATTTTAAAACACTACTCAGTCTTAGCAAACATATTGTAAATTAGAACTGATCTTTAAGTTGTACATAAACCTGCTTTAGTCATAAAGGATCACTCACCATTTCCTGGACATTTCCTACATTTTCCTGCCTCATATTTTGTTCACATTGTTCCCTAAACCTGAAATGTCCTTCTCCTTCTGTTTCTTCAGGAAAAACATATTGATCCTTCAGTTAGTAAGAATAGTTAAGGCTTTACTTGGTGTACAAATTATATTTATTGCTATATTATTAAACTTACTTGTTATATAAAGAGATTCACTCAGGTAAGTAAACTTTCAGCAAGGAAAGATACTTACAACTTGGGAAGTGTGTGAACGGTATAAAGAGAAAGTAGAGGAAGGCTGATATGAGAGATCAGGAAAGATAGAGTAAATAAAATTTGAAAATAAGATGTGGCTTTTGAGATTAAAATTAACATCTATCTCTTTGTATTTTTCCCTCAAATTAAAGTCAGACAGGTATATGAAACCTTATACTTTACAGTCATTTGGCAGGAGGGAGCCATAACTTTAAAGACATTTTGCAGTCAAGATTTATCATCTTTTCACAGAAGTGATAGACCTGGTTTGCACTGAAAGAAGGCAATGTCTTCTAGATTTATTGTATTTAATGGTCTTGTGTGGGAGATGTTAGGCAGAGAAATATTAGAGCAATAAATTGTAAGTGTTTGAACTGTGGTTAGAAAGAAAATATATTTTGTGTATTAAAGCCTAAGTTTTGAGCAATTTTGCCTATGGAGATAGTTAATATGTTAGCCTTAATCTAAGGATTTCATAAGTAGCTGTCCGAACCAACATGAACTGCAGAAGTAGAGCAGAAGGTAACACATAATATATGACTAAAAAAGAAAGACTTAGAACAATACAATCAAGTCTTTATTGTTCTTGATTGAGGGTTTCATCAATGGTGTAGAGAAAGATGATTGGTAGTTCAAGATAGAACCATACTTTTATTTGTCTAACCTAAATATAAATTCACACAAGTGATTGTCTACAAATTAGTCACCAACAATTATTCCCACACCTAAATGTATATTGCCCATCTTCCTTCAAAATGTAAAGTCTGTATGCCATTTTCAAATCTGGATGGTCTTATGACTTGCTTTGATCAATACAGAGGAAATAACCCTTGTCAGTCCCAAGCCTAGAACTTAGTATACCTAGCAGTGCCTGCTTTCACTCACCTGGAAGTTAACTACCATGAAAAGAAGTCTAGACTATTCACATGGAAACAGTGGGGCCACCTGGAGGAAAATCAAGATCCCACACAGATATATAGGTGAGCCCATACTCAGAACCCATCACTAGAATAGGAAGGCCCAGCCATCTCAATGAGGCCTCAGTGATTCTACCACTTCCGCTGAGGTGCCAGGCACATGAGTAAAGCCATCTTAGAATGTTTAGCCCCAAATAGATCCCACCTCTCCCACCCCAACACCAACTGCCAAGAGTAACACGACATGGACCACAGAAAAACCATACCCAATGAAACTTGACCTGTTCCCATTATCATAAGCAGATGAATGATCATTGTTTTAGTATAAAGAGTTCAGAGTGGTGTGTTATGCAGCAATAGGGAACTGTTACCAGAAGTTTATGAACTCAGTATTCTTAGCAAAAACAAATAAAACAAAATCAAAATAAAATATTACTATGTTCTATGTTGATCAGTATTTTAGAAATATGCATCTAAATGAGACAATTAGAAATTTGTAAATACATTCTTTTTCAATGAGCTTTTATGGATGTACCACATAAATGAGATAGTTGGCAGAGTAACAAATTTTAATTTTTAAATTTGGTCATAAGTCTGTACAGCCAATCTTAGTCCACTTAGGCTGTAGCTTTGTGATGAGATTAGAAACAATGATCTGAGAGAGTTGGTGGGAGAGGAAAGTCTGAGGTTAGTGCTGATTCAATCGATTTCCTTTCTATGTTGAGGTAGCATGTTACATGGAAGAACAACTTCAGATAAAAAGGGGCAAGATGGGGTCTAAAGAGAGAAGGAACTAGAAATAGGTCCCCCTAAAAACCCTCAAAAAAGGCAAAAGTTATATTCATTTTGTTCCTCAGCAAATAACAATTTCAACAGAGTTTTAATGGTCCCTTAACATTCTTATTAGAGGATAATATATTTTATATGATGGAGTAAGTTAATGAAAATAATATTGGGATATATTAATGAAATCACAGGTTCAAATTGGGCTTAGCTACTGCCACACCGTGTGCATTGGACAAGTCATGTAACTTCTATGAATCATAATTTCCTCTATATCAAGTGGTGCATTTAAATTAAGTGATCACTGCCCATCCTTTGAGCTGAAAAGTTTTGATCCACAATTAGGGCTTAAAATAAATGCTTTATCTAGATATTAAATTTACATTGCTGTGGCAGTTGTTTTCATGGAATTTTTATATATTTAGTTCAGCAAAAATTATTGCATCTATAATTCTGATAGTTTCAGGCTAAAAATTAATAGGAAAATGGCAGGCCCTTTTAGAAGGCATATAGTTTGGGGAAAGGCATTTTATAGGTTTAATAAAGATATGAAAATTATATTCTAATTGCATATTTTAAAAATACATAAAACTTGTAAAAGACTATGTTTAATCCTGATATTTCTTGCAACATTAAAAGTTGTCTGTTCTACTTGACAGAGATATTTACATGCCTTAGAGTAGTCAGTCATTCTGTGAGGAAATCCTCAACCGGCCATATGTGTGCTATTAAGCATTTTCATTTGGCTCTTCTCTGCAATTAGCATTCCAAAGGTTATGCTGACTGGTTGTGGATACCATATGTTTGGCATCAGTCCTTAAAGTTCTGCCACATGTTCGCTTTGATAGCACAAGCACTATGGTGAAGGGAAACAAAAGCTTACCAAACATTTCAAATCAACATCCAAGCCCCACTTTTAAAAATCAGGTATAAATACTGTGTCCCTATTGTGTTCAATGTTCATGTTCCAAAATATATATTTAAAACAAATGACAGTTGGAATACAAAAACCTACCTCACACTGTCTAATTTGTTGGGAAAAACTAAAGGTCAAGGTTTTAACTTTATCTAGAATTGAAAGATTGCATGATAACCACTGGGGTCTTTAAGCCTCTTCTTTCATGTCTTTTCAGAAAGTGTGTGTACGAATACTACTTTGTAGGTGTACAATAAGCAGTAGCTTCTAAATTGGGAAATCAAGTGAGAGTTTGGTTTAGTCTGCTTCCAGTAAAGGAAAGGAAGATTGCCATCAAAATGGCTCTTCAGTGCCTAATAAGATGGCTCAAAGGATTTGCTGTCCTTGTATTTGCCTTTTTTTCAGTCATTTCCTGTTTGGCAAGCAAGTGGACTCAGTTGATTGCCTTAGTAGAGTTGAGTAATCAGAAATAATGTAAAATTCTTAATAGGCACAGTGGGACCTAAAAGAAGCACAGGTGTTGGTAATCTCTCTAGAAACGGTAAAATGAGAATTTAAAAAAATGTTTCATTCTTTATATTTGCAGCCATTTATTGCCAGCCTGTAAGAGCAATGGGCACGGTATTTCTCGATCTCTGTCTTTGCATCTGTTGGAAGAAAATAGTGAAGTTACCTCACCTTATAATGGTTGAACTGAATGAGCACAGAGAATACCACCCATGTCTTAGGGCTAGATTCTAAAGCTATTTGAGTTACACCTGGCAGGTGGTCCATCAAAGGGACAAAATACAGACCCCCGTCTGCAAAGCCTCTGATTCTGTAATAGCTTGAAGATTGGGAGAATTAATGCACCGTGAAAACTTTGTCAACTGAAGCAAGAATCAGAGAGTTTATCTTTTACACCTGGTCAACTAGTGGACACAGATTTCCTGAATTTGCTCCAGGTTTCATCACTATTACAGGTGTTAGGTTTACGAGGAATTGTGTGCCAGAGAGATGTTGATTTATTCATTCTTCACTTACACAAAATATTTTTGAGCTACTACTAAGGTGCCAGCTAATCTATTAGAAAAAGAAAATTCAGGAGAGTTCAAGACAAGCACAGTGTCTGCTCTCCTGGAGCTTATAGTCCAGAAGGGAAGCCATTAGACCTAAAAAACAGTTATACAAATTGGTATGTAATAAGAATGGTATAAAGTGATGTGAACCTAAGGTGCTAGGAACTATGTGAATGTATTACTGGAGGATCTAAACTAGTTCTAGGATTTAGCGGAGATTCCCCTAAGGAAGGAACATTTATTTCACTTAAGGTCTGAAAGATGAATAAAAATCAGTAAGACAAGGAGAATGAGAGCGGGAAGCTGGAATGTGTTTGGCTCAGGCACTGACTTTGGTAGTAGGGGAAGTTGTTTTTCTTCGATCATCTCATTTAAATAAAAATGTTGAAGGCCAAAATGCTATTTAGAAAAAGTACAATTTGGAAACCCACATGTAGTAGCACAAATGTATACAAAGGAATATAGTATGAAATAACCAGAAAAATGTTAAAATTGGAACAAGAAAAATATTGAAAATATTTTGAGGCATTCTAAAATTAAAATATGGATATCACACAAAATATCCAGTAGTCAAATAAGACTATGTGCTGATTAAAATGAGCAACCTGACAGATTTTTGTGTTTTTCCACCAGTGAACTAATGGAAATCGATTTTAATGTAGAAAGGCTGCTGCTAAGACCAATGTGGGGAACTGGAAGCATCCCTCAGAGATCCCTGGCTGTTGTACTGTTAAGCTATTTCTCTGTTGGCTCAGTATATTATCACACCCTCCTGATAAGGCAAGGGAAAATCATGCCCAATATGTTACTAGTGATATTCTGGGCAATCATTCTGCATACCTCCTTTGTCTTTATTGCCAATACTCCACAGGCAATTTTCACCACAATTCTCTGAATACAGGAATCACCTGATATTAGCACTGGACATATAATTTAGAATTATGTGAAATCTACCATAATAACAAATGCATGATATGTAAATAATTTTTTAAAGAGGCCAGTGTGTTCCATTTTGCAATATAATCCTTCTGACTGGTATAGGAAACCCTCAAGTAGAACAACTGAGCCAAACAATTGTCCTGCCACATGAAGCCGCATGTGATTCAGGATGGTTCTACCATCATTCAGATGGCAGATTATTTCTGACCTGTGATTGTGGACTAGACCAACTTGTAGGGAACTATGGACGGCAGCTTCTTTGATAATGATGCTGGCAACTGGTCAGGGAGCTCTCAAGGTACACAGAAAACGCTCTGAGGAGTCCAAATGGTCAGTGTGACCTGGGTCAGATGAGTCAGCCCACTTTAAACATTCAGGAGCCTTCCCATAACTTTTCTTTTTCCTTGTGTCTCCAAGTCCAATAGATGGAAAAAATGGTTTGACACATTCAGAAGCAGCCACTGGGGGAAGGATCAGGCTGTGTTTGCCTTTTGGAAACCTCAAAGCTTTGGCAGTTATAGGCAAATGAAGAGGGGTGGGGAACACCACTACAGTCTGGAACAGGGAGAGCCTGGAAGAGTGGTGCCCACTAGCAATGGGAGCCAAATTGTACGGTCATAGGGAAAAAGAACTAGAAGTTACTTAAGGGTAACTGTACTAAAGCCAATGTCTTTCCGCAAATGGCCTTGAGTGGCCTCTTGGTAGCACATTTGCCAGGGCTAGCCCCTCTGCTCTAATCTAGTACATTTAAATACATAGAGATTATAAGCAATTTCAACTGTAGGAAATGCTTCCTCTGCCTTCTTGTTTGTTTGTTTCTCTTAAATTTTATGCCTATCTAAAACAAATAATTTGGTAGCATTTGCACATCATTTACACAACATAAGGCAGATGCTTTCTTTAGTTTCTAAAGCTTTAAATATTCCCTGCAGGTTACAAAATTGGATAGCTTCTAGACATTTCCAAGTTCAATAGAAAATGAATTCAGTGTAAGTCAAGCAACTGAGTCAAACAGAGATGTACCATCTTAGAAATTTAGTCCCAATAATTCTTTTTAAAATAGTAGTAGTATTAGTAACACCTGACATTTATGTAATAGGTTTTTACAGAGCTTTCTGATTTACCACACTTGTTCAAAACAACCAGTGAGGTAAGTGGAACAAGAGTTGTTATCCACATTTTACAAATGAGGAAACTGAGACTCAGAAAGACTGATGTGCCCAAAGAAATGCTGAGGGGGTAATGCCAGGTCTAGAAGCCAAGAACCAGATTCCAAGGTTATTCTTTTTGCCATTACTCAACACTGCCTCTTTTTTTCATTTTACAGGAATCATCCAGACTTATTTTTAATTTGAAAGGAGGAGAAGATAGATATTTGAGAAATGACTTTATGGCTGTAAAGAAATTTTTCAAAAAAGCAAAACTAGTGCAAACCATTATATAATGAGTAGTGCTTGGCTTATCAATTTGTGTACTATCTAATCCCTGGGAATGCTGAATAAAAGATACCTTTATACAGTTTACACCCAAGAGACTTCCATAATTCACTTTTTTCTTTTTTTTTTTGCTGAAAATAGCCATATATATTCTGATGCTCCAAATCTATGAGACATTTCTCATAGTCATCTTTCCATATCCCCTAATCATAAACACAGCTTCCACTTCTCATTTGAGTTTCAAAATACGAGATAAGACTGGTGATTTTCAGATCATTTAGTTTTTATTAAGGTCATTTTTTAAAAAAAATGGATCAGTTTGTTTCAAAAATAATTTAAAATATTCTTGTTAGAATTCAAAATCTGAACTTAGATTCAAGTGACAACACATTAATGCAGGAATGCAATTTGTTGTGTGGCTACCTAAATAAAATGTTTTAATTATAATAAATTAGTAAACTCGCCTCTTTAGTTGCTTTACCACGAAAAATCAGTCACATCTATCAAATTGCAACTTTACTTAAAATTCTATACTTTCTTATTTGCTTTGTAGACAGGAAAAAAAAGAACACCCTTATCTTAAGGTTAAAAAATAGTCAAGCTGTATTAATGGATTAAGGAGAATGAAGTACACCAGTAGGCAGAAACATAAACTGAAAGGCTAAGCTAGCAACTCTGAGGGCTATGATCTTGAGCTTACAATCAAATATGAATCCAAGGACAGAAATTGCTCCTTTTCCTGACTTTGGAGGGAACATCAATAACCCTGAAAAGAAACTGAAAACCTAAAAAGAATTTTACAGAAGGATGTTTTTCTAATACTGTAGAGGACATAGAGAGGTCATTTATTATTGAAACAAGGAACCTTCCTCTATCAGACAGGAAATTATATAATTCCTTGGAATGCAAGCCAAAATTTCAAAATGAACAACTTTATTTTTTCCTACTAAAAAGTAAGAGTCTGTTAAAACAGCCCTTTAAATATTTTTCAACTTTTGTTTTCTTTTTAATTGACAATTAATTGCACATGTTTATGGGGTAGAGTGTAATGTTTTGATGCATGTAAACATTGTGAAATAATCAAATCAAGGTAATTAGCATATCCATCACCTTAAATATTTATCCTTTCTTTGCGGTGAGAACATTTAAAATCCTCTCTTTTAGTTATTTTGAAATATACAATACGTTATTATTAACTATACTCACCTTGCTGTGCAATAGAATACCAGAACTTATTTCTCCTATCTAACTGTAACTTTGTGCCCACTAACCAATGTCTCCCCTTTCCCAGTCCACCTCCCCTAAGACCTCAGTCTCTGGTAACCACCATTCTACTCTCTACTTGTATGAGCAACTTTTTTAGATTCCACATATAAATAAAATCATACAGTATTTGTTTCTCTGTGCCTGGAAGCTGTTTAAATATTTTAAGACCGTATTAATGTCTTACATGCAGAGATTAAGAGCACATGGGTGGTATGAAGTCATAAACCCTGGAACAAGAAGGACTATATTCCATGGCATGGAATTTGGTGTTTTATCTTCAATTTTATAAATAAACATTTTTATTGAAATGAAGCCTGCTTATGGAAAAGAACATAAAACCACAGTGTACAGGTTGGTGAATTGTCACCAAAAAAACATAATCATATAACCACCATGAGAGTCAAGAAATAAAACATCACCAGCATCTCAGAAATTCCTTTTTGCACCCACTCCTGTCACTATCCACTCTTCCACCCCACAGACAACCAGTATTCTGACTTCTAAAAGCAATACTTATATTTGCTTCTTTCTGAATTTTTCAGAAACGGACTCATAATCATACAATACAGTTTAGATTAATTGGGGATCAGGTCTTTCATGCAGGTTTCTGATTGTGAGATTCAGTCATGTTGTTGCAAGTAATATGTCGGTTCATTTTCTACGCTAATTGTGTCCATTGTATTATTATGCCACAATTCAGTTATGCTTTCTACTATCGGTGAGTGTTTAGATTATGTCTTGGTTTATACATTATGAACAATGCTGTGAACATTCTTGTACCTTTTTTTGGTGGCTCGTTATATTCCTAGGAGAGAATGTCTTGGGTCATAGACAATGCATATGTTCAGACGCTATCAGTTTTCCAAAGTTATTTTACCGGTTTACACTCTTATTTAATTTAATTGCCCACATCCTTTTCGCCACCTAGAATTGCCACTTTTAAAATTTCATGCTTTTTAATTTACATTTCCCTGACGTCTAATTATGTTAAGCAGTTTTTTACATATTTACAAGCTATGTGGAAATCTTTTCTCATAAACTCTCTGTACTTTTCCCCCGCTTCATTAAATTTGTCTTTCATTTTATTTATTTATAGGGGTTCTTTTTTTTTAAGAAATAATTCTTATTTAATTTTAAATAAATTGTATTGGCCGGACGCAGTGGCTCACGCCTGTCATCCCAGCACTTTGGGAGGCCGAGGCGGGCGGATCACAAGGTCAGGAGATCGAGACCATCCTGGCTAACACGGTGAAACCCCGTCTCTACTAAAAATACAAAAAATTAGCCGGGCGTGGTGGCGGGTGCCTGTAGTCCCAGCTACTTGGGAGGCTGAGGCAGAAGAATGGTGTGAATCCGGGACGGAGCTTGCAGTGAGCCGAGATGGCACCACTGCACTCCAGCCTGGGTGACAGAGTGAGACTCCGTCTCAAAAAATAAAATAAAATAAATAAATAAATAAATAAATAAATTGTATTGTGTGTATTCAAGATATACAGCATATTATGGGATACATACAGACAGCAAAAAGTTACAATAATGAAGAAAATTAACACAATTGTCATCACATATAGTTATAGATATTTTTGTTTTGAAGGCAAGAGCAGCTAAAATCTAATCATTTAGCGTAAATCTTATATACAGTACAATTATATTACCTGTAGTCCTCATGTTGTACATCAGATCCTAAACTTGTTATTCCTACATATCTGCTGCTTTGAATGCTGTGAACTGTACCTCCCACTTCCTCCCCACCCCCACTCCTGGTAACCACTGTTTTGCTCTCCATCTGTATATATGAAATAACTGATATCATGCAATATCTTCATTTCAGCATCTGATTTATCTCATTTAGCATATGTTCTCCTGGCTTTTCCACATTGTGGCAAATGGCAAGATCTCATTCTTTTTCACAGCTGAGTAATATTCTATTGTATATATGTATCACAATTTATCCATTTATCCAACAACAAACATTTAGGTTGTTTTCATATCTTGGCTATTGTGAATAATGCTGCAAAGAAATAGGAGTGCAGGTATCTTTACAAGATGGTGATTTTATTTCCTTTGTGTATATTCCTAGAAGAGGGACTGCTGGGTTATATGGTAGTTCTATTTTTGATTTTTTAGAAACGGCCATACTATTTTCAAAATGGCTATACCAATCTACATTCCCACCTACAGTGTATAAGAGTTCCCTTTTCTTCATACCCTCACCAACACTTGTTATCTTTTGACTTTTTGGTAATAGTCATTACAACAGGTGTGTTGTGGTAAGGATGGTCTTTCATAATGGTATTGATTTTCCTTTCTCTGATGATTAAGGATGTTCAACACCTTTTCATATACCAGATGGCCATTTTTATATCTTCTTTGGAAAAATTTCTATCCAAGTCTTTTGGCTATTTTTGAATCAGGTTATTTGTTTTTCCACTATTGAGTAGTCTGAGTTCTTTATAAATTTTGGGTATTAACCTCTTATCATATAAATGGCTTGCAGATATTTTTTTCACAATCCATAAACTGGTATTTCTTTTTTTCAGAGTTATCTCTCTTTTTTATTATTTATTTATTTAAATTGACATAAAATTGTGTGTATTTACTGTGCACAAAATGTTGCTTAAAGTATATATACATTGTTGAATAACTAAATCTACCTAATAAATATATGCATTAACTCACATGGTTGTCATTTTTGTGGTGACAGTGGTAATGTTTACTCTTTTAGCATGTTTCAAGAACACAACATATTATTAACTATAGTCACTATGTTGCACAATGTCTCTCTTAAACTTATTTCTCCTCTCTATCTAAAGTTTTGTATTCTTTAGCCCACACCTCCCCAACCTCCTCCTGCTCCCAATCCATGGTAACCACCATTCTACTCTACTTTTATGAAATAAAGATTTTAGATTCCACATATGAGTGAGATAATTTAGTATTTGTCTTTATGTGCCTAGTTTATTTCACTTCACATAATATCCTACAGGTTTATCCATGTTGTTGACAATGACAGAATTTTCTTCTTTTTATGGCTGAATAATATTTCATTGTGTATATGCCCCATAATTTCTTTATTTGTTCTTCCATTGATGGACACATGGGTGGATTTCATGTCTTGGCTATTCTGAATAATTCTATAAAAAACATGGGGGGTGTAGATATCTTTTTGACATAGTGATTTCATTTCCTTTGGCTATACACATTGTATACTGTTTTCCATAATAGCTATACTAATTTACATGTCTACCAACAGTGTATAAGAGTTCTCCTTTCTCCACATTCTTGCCAGCATTTGTTTTTTCTGTCTCTTCTTGGGAGAAATGTGTATTGAGGCCTTCTGACCATTTTTTTTTTAATGAGGTTACTTGTTTTTCCACTATTGAGTGGTAAGAGTTCTTTACGAATACTGAATATTAACCCTTTATCAGTTATGTGATTTGTGACTATGTTTTTATCATATTATGTAAGCTACCATTTCATTTTGTTGATTGTTTCCTTTGCTGTGAAAAATGTTTTTGGTTCGATATAGTCCTGCTTATTCATTTTTTCTTTTGTGGCCTGAACTTCTGATGTGATATTCAAAAAAATCATTGCCAAGGCCAACGTCTAGGAGCTTTTAATATGTTGCTTTCTAGGAGATTTTTTAGTTTTTGGTCTTATATTTAGGTCTTTTAACCATTTTTATTTGATTTTTTAATGTAAGCTAAGGGCCCAATTTCATTCCTTTGCATGTGGAAATCCAATTTTCCTGGAACCATTTAGTGAAGATGCTGTTCTTTCCCCTTGAGTCCTCTTGACTCCCTTCTCAAAAATTAGTTAACTGTAAATGCTTGCATTTATTTCTGGGCTGTCTATTCTGTTCCACTGGTCTGTATATCTGTATTTATGTCAGTATCATACTGTTTTCATTACTATAGCTTTGTAAAATAATTTTAAAACAGAAAGTGTGATGTCTCTAAGTTTGTTCTTTCTCAGAATTGGTTTGGCTGTTTGGGGTCTTTTATGGTTCTATATATATTTTAGGATTATTTTTCTGCTTATGTGAAGAATGCTACTGGGATTTTTATGGGGATTGTGTTGGATCTGTATATTGCTTTGGGTATTATGGACATTTTAACAATATTAAGTCTTCTCATTCAAAGTATGGGATATCTTTCTAATTGTTTGTATCCTCTTCAGTTTCTTTCATCAGTGTTTTGTGGATTTTCTTGTAGAGGTCTTTCACCTGCTTAGTTAAATTTATTCCTAGGCATTTTTTATAGCTATCATAAAGGGGATTGCTTTCTTGATTTCATTTTCAGCTAGATTATTGTTTGTATATAGAAACACTACTTATTTTTGTATGTTGATTTTGTATTCTGCAACTTTACTGAATTCATTTATTAATTCTAAGAGTTTTTGTGGAATTTGTGTGTGTGTGTGTGTGTGTGTGTGTGTGTGTGTTTTAAATATGGCACAATGCTATATGCAAATAGACATATGCTTCTTCCTTTCTGATTTGGATGCCTTTCATTTCTTGTCTGAGTGTTCTTGCTAGTACTTCCAGTACTATGTTAAATAGAAGTGGTGAGAGTGGGCATCCTTGCCTTGTACTGAATCTTAGTGGAAAAGCTTTCAGTTTTTTCCCATTGATTTTAATGGGAAATGATACCTGTGAACTTTTCACAAGTGGTCTTTATTACTTTGAGGAAATTTTCTTCCATACCTGACTACTGACGGTTTGTAACAAGAAACAATGCTGAACTTTGTCACATGTTTTTTCTGTGTCAATTAAGATGATCATGTGATTTTTACCTTTCATTCTGTTAATGTGATGAATCACATTGATTGATTTGGATGGTTAAACCAGTCTTTAATGCCAAAAATAAATCACACATGACCGTGATGTATAATCTTTTCTGACGTGTTGTTGGATTTGATTTGCTGATATTTTATTGGGGATTTCTACATAAATTTTCATCAGAAAAATTGGCCTATATTTTGTTTGTTTCTTATGACGTTTTTGGCTTAGGTATCAAAGCAATATTAGACTTATAAAATGTGTTTGGAAGTATTCCTTCTATCTCTATTTCTTGAAATAGTTTTAGATGCATTGATATTAATTTTTCTGAATGCTTGGTGGAATTCAGCTGTAAAGCTATAAAGCTATCGGTTTTGGTCTTTTCTTAGGAGGTTTTTGACTAGTTGTTCAGTCTATTTATTAATATTTGTTATTGGTCTATTTAGACTTTCTATTTATTCTTAACTTGATCTTGGTAGGTTGTATTTTTCTAGGAATTTCTCTCTTTCCTCTACATTTTTCAATTTGTTGGCATACAATTGTTCATAATAGTTTCTAATGATTCTTTTTATTTCTGAGACATCTATTGCAATGTCTTTACTTTCATTTATTTTATTTACTTAAGTCTATGTCTTGTTTCTTAGGCTAGTTAAGAGTTTGTCAATTTTTTAAAAACTATTAGTTTTATTGATTCTTTCTATGGTTTTTCTGTTCTTTATTTGACATAATTATCTCCTTATTTTTATCATTTATTTTCTTTATCTGATTTTGGGTTTAGTTTATTCTTCTTATTGTAGTTCCTAGAGGTTTAATGTTAGACTATTTAACTGGGATCTCTCTTCATTTTTTTTTTGTTGTTGTTGTTGTTGTTTTCACTGCTTCAAGTTACAGATTACAAATGTATCTTTTCACTTATGGGTGGTTTTCTTGGTATAGTTTGGTTTTTAGCTATTTACCACTCTAAATTGGTCTGCTAAATAGAGAAAACATAGTTTCAACTCAAATCATAAGCAAAGGGATAATTTTCTTTTTTCCTTTTTTTTTTTTTTTTTGAGACAGAGTCTTGCTCTGTCACCCAGGCTAGAGTATAGTGGCACAATCTCGGCTCACTGCAGTCTTTGCCTCCTGGTTCAAGTGATTCCTCTGACCCAGCCTCCTGAGTAGCTGGGATTACAGACACGTACCACCACGACCAGCTAATTTTTGTATTTTTAGTAGAGACAGGGTTTCTTCATGTTGGCCAGGCTGGTCTCAAACTCCTGACCTCAAGTGATCCCCCCAACTCGGCCTCCAAAGTGCTGGAATTACAGATGTGAGCCACTGTGCCTGGCTGATAATTTTCTTAATACATATAGAGCTTTTCCAAATCAATGAGAAAAAGAACAACAGCTATTTAGAAAAATGAGCAAAGAATATGAATAGATAGGTCACAGATAAGGAACTACAAATGACTCTTGTAAATGTGAAGACACACCCTAATTATTAGTGGAGAAACACATGTTGAAGTTATTATATAACTTTTTTCTATGACAAAAATGGATATTTGTCAATATTCACTTCTGTTTTTTTTTCTTTTTTAAATTATACTTTAAGTTCTGGGATACATGTGCAGAACATGCAGGTGTTACATAGGTATACATGTGCCATAATGGTTTGCTGCACCCATTAAACCATCATCTGCATTAGGCATTTCTCCTAATGCTATCCCTCCCCTAGACCTCTACCCCCCAACAGGCCCCAGTATGTGATGTTCCCTTCCTTGTGTCCATGTGTTCTCACTGTTCAACTCCTACTTACAAGTGATAATGTGGTGTTTAGTTTTCTATTCCTGTGTTAGTGTGCTGCGAATGATGGTTTCCAGCTTCATCCATGTCCCTGCAAAGGACATGAATGCATCCTTTTTTATGGCTGCACAGTATTCCATGGTGTATATGTGCCACATTTTCTTTATCCAGTCTATCATTGATGGGCATTTGGATTAGTTCTAACTCTTTGCTATTTTGAATAGTGCTGCAATAAATATACATGTGCACATGTCTTTATAATAGAATAATTTATAATCCTACTTCTGTCAATTTGTCAAGCTCATTCTCCATCCAGTTTTGTTCCCTTGCTGGCAAGGAGTCGTGATCCTTTGGAGAAGAGGCATTTCCATTTTTAGAATTTTCAGCCTTTTTATGCTGTTTTTTCCTCATCTTGATGGATTTATCTACCTTTGGTCTTTGATGTTGGTGACCTTCAGATGAGGTTTTTGAGTGGACGTCCTTTTTGTTGATGTTGATGTGATTCCTTTCTGTTTGTTAGTTTCCCTTCTAACAGTCAGGCCCCTCTGCTGCAGTTCTGCTGGAGTTTGCTGCGAGTCCACTCCAGACGGTGTTTGCCTGGGTATCACCAGTGGAGGCTGCAGAACAGGAAAGAATTTTACCTGTTCCTTCCTCTGGAAGCTTCATCCCAGTGGGGCACCCACAAGATGCCAGCCGGAGCTCTCCTGTATGAGGTGTCTGTCGACCCCTGCTGGGAGATGTCTCCCAGTCAGGTGGCCCAGGGTTAAGGGACCCACTTGAGGAGGGAGTCTGTCCCTTTGCAGAGCTTGAGCACTGCTTTGGGAGATCTGCTGCTCTCTTCAGAGCTGGCAGGCAGGAACGTTTAAGTCTGCTGAAGCTGTGCCCACAGCCATCCCATCCCTTCCCCCAGGTGCTCTGTCTCAGGAAGATGGGAATTTTATCTATAAGCCCCTGACTGGGTCTGCTGCTTTTCTTTCAGAGATGCCCTGCCCAGAGAGGAGGAATTTAGAGAGGCAGTCTGGCTATAGCAGCTTTGCTGAGCTGCAGTGGGCTCCGCCCAATTCAAACTTCCTGGTGGGTTTGTTTACACTGTGAGGGGAAAACAGCTTACTTAAGCCTCAGTAATGGTAAATGCCCCTCCCACCACCAAGCTTGAGTGTCCCAGGTTGACTTCAGACTGCTGTACTGGCAGTGAGAATTTCAAACCAGTGGATCTTAGCTTGCTGGGCTCCATGGGAGTGGGATCTGCTGAGCTAGGCCACTTGGCTCCCTGGCTTCAGCTCCCTTTCTAGGGGAGTGAACGGTTCTGTCTCACTAATGTTCCAGGCATCATTGTGGTATGAAAAAAAACTCCTGCTGCTAGCTCGGTGTCTGCCCAAATGGCTGCCAACTTTTGTGCTTGAAATCCAGGGCCCTGGTGGTGTAAGCACCTGAGGCAATCTCCAGGCCTGTGGGTAGCAAAGACCATGGGAAAAGTATAGTATCTGGGCTGGAATGCACCATTTCACATGGCACAGTCCCTCAAGGCTTCCCTTGGCTAGATGATGGAGTTCCCCGACCTCTTGCGCTTCCCAGGTGAGGTGACACCCCATCCTACTTCAGCTCACCCTCTGTGGGCTACACCCAACTGTCTAACCATTCCCAGTGAGATGAGCCAGGTACCTCAGTTGGAAATGCAGAAATTACCCCCTTCTGCCTTAATCTCGCTGGGAGCTGCAGACCAGAGCTGTTCCTATTTGGCCATTTTGCCTACCACCTTCCTCTACATTTTTAATGTAGGCATTTGTTGTTATAAACTTTCTTTCTTTTCTTTTTTTTTTTTTTTTTTTGAGATGGAGTCTCACTCTGTTGCCCAAGCTGGAGTGCAGTGGCGAGATCTCAGCTCACTTCAAACTCTGCCTCCAAGGTTCAAGCAATTCTTGTGCCTTAGCCTCCTAAGTAGCTGGGATTACTGGCACCCACCATGATGCCCGGCTAATTTTTTGTATTTTTAGTACAGATGGCATTTCCCCATGTTGATCAGGCTGATCTTGAACTTCTGATCTTAGATTATCCACTCTCCTCAGCCTCCCAAAGTGCTGGGATTATAGGCATGAGCCACTGCGCTCAGCCTGTTGTTATAAACTTTCTTTTTAGGTCTGTTTTTGAAGCACATGATGGGTTTTGGAATGTTGTGTTTCCATTGCCATTTGTCTCATGACATTTGGCTCAATTTCCTCTTTGAGCCATTGGTTGTTTAGGAGCATGTTGTTTAATTTTCAAATATTTGTAATTTTCTAAGATTCCTACTGATATTGATTTCCAGTTTTATACTATTGTGTTCTGAAATGATACTAGACATTATTTTAATCTTCTTAAATATTCATGGTCTAACATATGGTCTATACTGGAGAATATTTCACATGTGCTAGAGAAAAATGTGCATTCTGCTGCTGTTGGGTGAAAAGTTATGTGTATGTCTGTGCTATGGATTAAATATGTTCTGCCAAAGTTTTTAAGATTTTGTGTTGGAAATCTAATTCCCAATGTAACAGTGTTGAGAGGTGGGACCTTTAAGTGATGATTAAGTCACAAAGGCTTTCCCCTCATGAATGGGTTAAGTTGTAATCAGAGGAGTCAGAGTCTTATTGTGGGATTGGGCTCCTGATGAAAGAATGAGTTCAGCCCCTTTCCTCTCTAATGTATGCACATGTTCTCTTGCCTTCTGCCTTCTGCCATGGAATGATGTAGCAAGAAGCCTCTCATCAGATGCACGCCCATCAGCCTTGTACTTTCCAGCCTCTAGAACTGTAAGAAATAGATCTCTGTTCTTTCTAAGTTACCCAGTCTCAGGTATTCAGTTATAGGAGCAAAAAAATGGACTAGGACATTCTGTTAGGTCCATTTGGTCAAACGGGCAATTCAAAATTAGAATTTTCTTATTTTTTTTGTCTTGTTGATTTATTTATTTTTAAAAGTGGGGTACTGAAACCCAATACTAATATTTTATTTCTATTTCTCCCTTCCATTAATATTTGTTTTATGTATTTAGGTGCTTCTCTGCTGGGTGCATAGATATTTATAATGGTTATTTCCTATTGACAAATTGACCCCTTTATCATTAAATAATGACCATTTGTCTCTTGCAATTTTTGACTTGAAGTCTTTTTATCAGATATAAGTATAGTCACCCCTGTTCTCTTTCAGTTACCATTTACATGGAATATCTTCTTTCATCCTTTTCCATTCAGCTCATGTGTACCTTTAAAGCTTAAGTTGGTCTCTTGTAGACAGCATATCGTTAGATTTTTTTTTTTTTTAATTCACTCAACCATTCTGTCTTTTGATTGGGGAATTTAATTCATTTCAACTCAAGGTTACCTTTGATAGGTGAGGACTTACTACTGCCATTTTATTATTGGTTTTCCAGTTGTTTTGTAGATCCTTTTTCCTTTCTTTCTCACTTGTTGTGTATGTTATGTTTGTGATGTGATAATTTTCTGTAGTGCTAACCTCTTATTCCCTCCTCTTTATTACTAGCTTTTGTAGGTTTTTGTTGTTGTTTTGTGATTAGCATGAAACTTCTATAATGCCTCATGATTATAATCTACTATTTTAAGCTGATAGCAACTTAACATCTGTCACATACAAAATCTCTAGGCTTTTACCCTACCCTTCCACAATGTATGATTTGATGTCACAATTTACATCTTTTTATATTATGTATTCCTTAACAAGTAATTGTAGCTTTAGTTATTTTTGGCCATTTCGACTCTACTAAGAGTCAAAACATATCTTCATACTAGAGATATATATGATCTATTCACCAACATTACAATATTTAAATATTCTGGATTTGATCACATGTTTACTGGTATTAGTTAGTTTCATACTTTGTGATAAACTCATACATGTATTTAAGATTTAATTATGTATAATTCACATGTATTTATATGTATTTGTGATTATTATCCTTTTATTTCTACTTGAAGAACCCCCTTAAGCACTTCTTGTAAGGTAAGTCTAGTGGTAATGAATTTCCTCAGTTTTTGCTTGTCTGTGAAAAGCTTTATTTCTCCTTCATTTTGGATAGATAATTTTGCTGGGCATGGTATTCTTGTCTGATAATTTTTTCTAACAGCACTTTGAATATTTATCTCATTCTCTCTTGACCTGTAAGGTTTTTGTTGAGAAATCTGTTGATAGTCCAATTGAAATTTCCTTATATGTGGAAAGGAAAAGCATTATTACTTAATTATTTTCCCTTGCTATGTTTAAAGCTCTGTCTTTGTCTTTGACTTTTGAAAATTTGAAAAAAATGGGCCTTGGAAATTGCATCTTTAGGATGAATCTATTTAGAAACTTTTGAGCTTCATGGACCTAAATATTCATTTATCTTTCAAGACTTGGAAAGTTTTCATCTTTTTTATGTTAAATAAGCTTTCTGAACATTTATCTGTCTCTTCTCCTTCCATAATTTTCATAATGTGAATGAATATCTGTTTGCTCAATGGTGTCTCATAAGTCCTCTAGGATTTCTTCACTCTTTATCATTCTTTTTTCTTTTTATCCCTCTGAACAAGTCATTTCAAAAGACCTACCTTCAAGTTCACAACTTTTCCTTGCTTGATCTAGTCTGCTCTTGAAGCTCTCAACAGTATATTTGTTTTATTAATTAAATTATTTAGCTCCAAGATTTCTAATTTTTTTATGTATGTACCTCTTTGTTGAGTTTCTTATTCAGATGATGAGTTATTTTCCTGATTTTAATGCATTATCTATTTGTATCCTTTTATATCTCACTGAGTTTCCTTATGATTATTAATTTGAACTTTTTTTCAGGCAATTCATAAATTTCTATTTTTGGGAAGTATATTACTAAAGAGGTATGTGTTTCTTTGGTGGTGTCAGGTTTCTTTCCTTTTTATATTTCTTACATCCTTTTGTTGATGTTTGCACACCTGATGGTGCAGTCACCACCTCCTTTACAGAGTGGCTTTCATTGGAGAAGACTTTCACCTGTAGTTGGCCCTGAAGGTGCCAGTTGGGCAAGGTATGGTTGCTCTGGTTCCATGTGGACACAGTAGTATGTCTCTGTGTAGTTTCTTCCATTAGGATCAATGTTAACAATGCACACAAGTGCTTCAGTGACCTAGGCTTCAGGAGTTTGTGGCAGTGGCAGTGGCTGGATAGGTTATAAGGTCAGGGGCTTTAGGGATACTTCTGTTCTTATCGTCCTAACAGTGTGGAGTCTTAGCTGAGGGGGTCTTTCTTGGTATTGGATCTGACACAGCCTATAGGCAGCCATAATGGCACTGGGATCCCAGGCACAGGTGCTCAAAGCAGCTGTGGAGTGGGTTCCTAGGCTCAGTGTCTTGAAAATTACTATAGCACCTGTGACTTGAGGCACATATGTACTCTTTAAGGTATGAGGGGATGCAGTTCTTCCACTAAGCTAGGGGTCTATTGTTCTGAGGCCCAATTCAGCAGCTCAGGCCCAGGGGGGCTGGAATGTAGCTTTGGTTCTGACCTGCAGTGGGAGGCACAGCACTGCACAGTTCTGGGGAAGAAGGAGTACACTGGAGGCTAGGTCCCTGGGAGCAGGGTACAACTGCAATTTGGGACCCAGAGCCATCAGAACATAGTGGCAGCTCAGGCTCTGGGGGATGAGTGGTGACTTTGGATCCTGAGATGGTGGGACATGACAGTAGACATGCTACTGGTGGGACCAGGTTCAGGAGTAGCAAGGATCCAGGAATGACAAAATGCTACTGTGGCTTATGCTCTGGGAGTGTGGGGAGCAGCACAGCAATGGCTCCACTCCCTAAAAAGGCACAGTGCTTCAGCAGCTTAGCCTGTGAGGTACTAGTCTAGTTTTAGGTAGCCGGGGCACTGTGGCTATTCAGCCTGAGCTGAGTGTCATAGCTCAGCCTAGGCTCTGATTCTCTGAGGCATAAAGCACAATGTCTTCTCAGTCACCAGAAAGCACATCTACATGAGTCAGCAGAGCTTCTGGATCCCTGGAAGTGGGGCAGCTGTGGTGCTGGGAGGTGCAAGTGCTCCAGTGTGCCAGAGGCTCAGAGCTCCTGACGGGGAGATGCTGCCTCACCTATGGTGTGGGAAGGTGTGACTACTCTGGTGTGCCAGAGGCCTGAGGTCTTTCAGGAGTGGGGCACTGCATCTGTTTTAACCTAGGGGGAGGATGTACCAGTGCCTGGAAGGATGGACTGGCTCTGCAGTATCTTGGCCCTAGGATGTAGGTGATAGTAGCAGCTACGCTTAGGGATAGCAGGCTACCAGGTGCATGTGGTGCAGTGGCGCTGAGCCTCAGGGATGGAGTGGTGCAAGCCTACTTGACCTGGAGCAGGACGCATTCTAACAGTGGCTCCAGTTCCAAAATGGTGCAGAACAGTAGCAACACGGGCCACAGCAGGGTGTGAGGGTGGGGGTAGTGAGGCAAGTCACAGTATCATCTCCTTCTCTGGGGCTAACTCAGAATGTAGACTCTGGAGATCTCCCTCAAGTGGGCCTCAGAACCTGTGAGGACTGCAGGTGTCTCCAGTAGCAAAGACTGTAAGTGTCCATGGTGGTGATTGGGGCTGGTGGGGTCTTCTTGCTTACCAGAAAGTCCCTCCTTGTTCTGAACTAATTCCAACTGGGAGAATGAGGTGGTGTAGGCAAGGTGTTTCATTTCTTCTCTGCGGAACTACTGTGGGTTTCTGTGCTCTACAGGATTTCTGCTGCTTCTTTGCTATTCTCTGGTGTTCTCCTTTAGTTCTTTTGGTAAAATGCAGCTTATTTGTTATTTGGGTTTTTTCATGGGGAGAAAGAGTACTAAAAAGTTCTAGTCAGCCATCTGGCTATTGTCACTCCTATGGGCCTTTTTAAATTTCTATGGAGATTTCTTTGACCCATGGGTTATTTACAAGTATGTTGTTTGACTTCCAAGCATTTAGGATTTTTCCAGTTACTTTTCTGTTACTGATTTCTAGTTTAATTCCATTGTGGTCAGAGAAAATAATTTGTATGATTTCAATTCTTTTTTTGTTCAGATGTGTTTTATTGCCTATGTGCAAGGAAGTTCTATGTGAGCTTGATGAAGAATATGTATCCTGCTATTGTTGAATAAAGCATTCTGTGAATGTCAAGTACATCAAGTTGATTAATGGTGCTATTCAGGTCACCTACATCTTACTAATTTTCTGCCTGCTGGTCTATCAATTACTGATAGAGGAACGCAGAAGTCTCCATCTATAATAGTACATTTGTCTATTTCTCTTTTCAGCTCTATCATGTTTTGCCTCATATATTTGGGTCTGTTTTTAGATGTATACACGTTTTTATTGACCTTATCTTCAAGATCACTGATTTGTTTACTTAGCTTTGTCAAATCTATTGAGGAGTGCATCAAAGTCATTATTCATTTATGGTTTTGATTTCTGGTGTTTTCTTTTTTTTTTTTCTTAGCTATTCCAACTCTCTGCCTACATTATCCATCTATTCTGGCATATTGTCTACTTTTTCCAATCCAAAGGACATTAGAACTTTTAACATCCTGTGTCGGGCCATTCTTGCATTGCTATAAAGAAATACCCTAGGATTAGTAACCCACAAAGAAAAGAGATTTAATTGGTTGACAGTCCTGCAGGCTGTACAAGCATGGCACGGGTATCTGCTTGGTTTCTGGTGAGGCCTCAGAGATCTTTTCTCTTGGCAGAAGGTGAAGCAGGAACAGGCACAACACATGGTGAAACCAGAAGCAAGAGAGAGCAAGGGGGAAGGTATTACATACTTTTAAACAACCAGATCTCATGAGAACAAACTATCATGAGGACAGCACCAAGGGAATGCTGCCAAGCCATTCATATGAATTCCATCCCCATTATCATATCACCTTCCACTGGGCCTCACCTCCAACATTGGAGATGACAATTCAACATGAAGTTGGGGGGGCAAATATCCAAACTATATCACATCCTAATTATAATTCTTTAAAATTTCCTGTCTCATAATTCTAACAGCTGTGTCATGTTGGAGTCTGTTTGGATAATTGCTTTGTCTCTTCAGAGTGTGTTTTCTTCTTGCCTTTAGGAATGACTTGCAAATTTTGTTGAACCTCTCACATGTTTATCAGGTAACAGAAACTGAATAAATAGATCTTTATAGTGACAATTTATATTAATCTGGCTGGTAATTTGACAGTGTTTAATGTTTGCTTCAGTTACAGTAGTATCTTAGTTTTTGCCTTATTTCTTGACTTTAGGCTTCCTTAAGTACTTCCCCTCAGAAAGTCTGTGTTTTGCAGCTTTTACAATACTAATCACTGTGATTATGCCAGAGCCCTGTTGGCACAGTGGTAAGGTAAGGGTGAAGAAAACATTCTATAATCTTCCAATTAAATTTCAATCAAGATAGGCACATGACTTTCATAAATTGTTTCTACAATGACATACCTTTTCCTTTCTATTTTATCTTCTTTTTTAACTCCCTCCCTTAGCTGCAGCATTCTTGACCTCTTTACTCAAACCACTAACACCTGTGACTGTGACTATGTTTGTGTCACCATCACCACCACCCCAACCCTCCCCCCACCTGCCCAGAGAGGCAAAAATGCTAGAGGGAGATAGTGCAGAAGGAATTTTCTTCCCTCAGTTAGCATAAGACTCTGGCAAAGTACTTTTCCCTATAAAATAGGCCTTTGTTGTAGAGAAGGCTCAGTGCATTTCATAATTATTACTCTTCTTCTTCTCCTTCCAGAGCCCAGAGAGGATCTTTCTCTGGTGTTCACAATGTTCACAAAAGTGGGCTTCCTGGAGGTAAAGCCCACAAAATAGTGGAGACTGGCAGAAATTTCTCACTCTAACGCTATTCCTCACTCAGCCTCCAACAATTTACCAAATTTGCCATTGAAATGTTCCAACCAGCTTATGGCTCCTGTGGCTTCTACTCCAAGTAATCAGACCTTGGTCCTGATGTTCTGGCTTTGCCTGTGTTTTCGGATTGTGGCATAGTGGTTTTTCTTGCAACCCCAAATCTCTGAGGAGACAAAGAAAAGCCACTGATTGTCAGTTTGTCCAGCTTTTGCTTATAAGGATGGAAGTTACAATTTATAAGCTCTTTACATGTCAGAGCTGAAAGTAGAAGTCTAACGTATATTTTTTATATAGATTAGATATATATCATTTGTTGATTAGATATGTATAGATATATTCTTTAATTATAGCTAAACATTTTATTTTTTAATGTACTTGGAATAAAGTGAACTTTCTAATTTTAATATCATACAATTAGTCTTTCCTTTATTAGTATTTTGTGCATTTTCTGTCTTTCTTTTTTTTTTTTTTTTTGAAACGGAGTTTTGCTCTTGTTGCCCAGGCTGGAGTACAATGGCGCAATCTCGGCTCACCACAAACTCTGCCTCCCAGGTTCAAGGGATTCTCCTAACTCAGCCTTCCAAGTAGCTGAGATTACAGACATGCACCACCATACCAGGCTAATTTTGTGTTTTTAGTAGAGATGGGGTTTCTCCATGTTGGTTAGGCTGGTCTCGAACTCCTGACCTCAGGTGATCCACCTGCCTTGGCCTCTCAAAGTTCTAGGATTACAGACGTGAGCCACTGCACCCAGTTTGTGCCCTTTCTAATATGGCTAAATATTATGAAGATATTCTATGATCTCATCTACAAGCTTTATGGTTTAGCATTTCATATTTAAATTTACAATGCCCCCAAAATTGATATTAGTATATGGCATGAGATAGGGTCAAGACTATTAATTTTTCCATAGGTTATGTAGTTGTCTTGGCACCTTCATTGAAAGCACAGTGCTGTCCCCGCTGGTCTGGTCTTAACTTAATTGTCCATATAAGTGAGAGTGTCTTTCTGAACTCTATAATCTGTGATATTGATTTGACTATTTGTGTTTGTCTAGCATGTTATTTTAACTACTCTTATAATAAAGATAGTTAACTGCTTAGCTACTTTATAGTGTCTTGATATTCAGTAGTATATGTGTCCCCTAATTTTGTTCTCCTTTAAGATTGTCTAGGTCCAGAGTTGCCGAAGCTTTTCTGTAAAGGGACAAATAATAAATAAAGGTGATATTGTGGGGCACACAGTATAGTTATGCTGTCATAGTTATTCAACTCTGCCATTGTAGCTCAAAAGCAGCCATAGACAATATGCAAAAGATGGGTGTGACAAATTTACAAAATAAACAGCAGGTCCAAATTTGGCCCACAGACTGTGGTCTGCATAACCCTGGCCTAGACCTTTTTCAAATCTCTTGCTATTTTAAATGGGATTGTAATGAAGCCATTTAAAAAATATGAAGGAGAGGGTTGAATATTCCAATCCATGAGTATGGAATATCTCCATTTATTTACATATTTTTAAATTTAAATTTGCCATATACTATTTTATGGTTTTTCTGTCTAGATATTTTGCATATCTTTTATTGGATTTTTTGCTACAGATTTGAATAGGTACAAATAATTTTCTATATCTGTTGAGATTACTATAATTTTTCTCTTAATATATCAGACTATAATGACTGATTTAAGAAATGGGTTACCAATGGTGTTTGGAAATTTCTTTGAGGAAGATTTTTTAATTATAGAATTAATTTCCTTAATATCATATTAGTATATTTTCATGCTACTGATAAAGACACACCCAAGACTGGGCAATTTATACAGGAAAAAGGGCTTAATGGACTTACAGTTCCACATGACTGAGGACACCTCACAATCATGGCAGAAAGCAAGGAGGAGCAAGTCTTATCTTACATGGATGGCAGCAGGCAAAGAGCTTGTGCAGGGAAACCCCCATTTTAAAAACCATCACATTTCATGAGACTTATTCACTATCATGAGAACAGAACAGCACCCCCATGATTCAATTACCTCCCACTGGGTTCCTCCCATGAAACATGGGAATTGTCAGAGTTACAATTCAAGATGAGATTTGGGTGGGGACACAGTCAAACCATATCATTCTGCCCCTGGCTCCTCCAAAATCTCATGCCCTCACATTTCAAAATCAATCATGCCTTCTCAGCAGTCCCCAACATGAGTCCCCAACTCATTTCAACATTAACTCAAAAGTGCACACAGTCCAAAGTCTCATCTGAGACAAGGCAAGTCCCTTCTGCCTATGAGCCTGTAAAATTAAAAGCAAGTTAGTTACTTCCTGGATACAATGGGGGGGTGGGGGGTGGTACAGGCATTGGATAAATATAGCCATTCCAAATGGGAGAAATTGACCAAAACAAAGGGGCTACAGGCCCCATGCAAGTCCAAAATTTAGCAGAGCAGTCAAATGTTAAAGCTCCAAAATGATCTCCTTTGACTCCTTGTGTCACATCCAGATCACACTGATGCAAGAGGTAGGCTCCCACAGCCTGCGGAAGCTCATACCTGTGGCTTTGCAGGGTATAACCCCCCTCCTGGCTGCTTTCACGGTCTGGTGTTCAGTGTCTGTGGCTTTTCCAGGTGCAAGCTGTTAGTTGATCTACCATTCTGGGGTCTGGAGGATGGTAGCCCTCTTCTCACAGCTCCACTAGGTGGTGCCCCAGTAGGGACTCTATGTCGGGGCTCTGAGACTACATTTCCCTTCTGCACTGCTATAGCAGAGGTTCTCCATGAGGGCCCTGCCCCTGTAGCAAACATCTACCTGGACATCCAGGTGTTTCCGTACATCCTTTGAAATCTAGGCAGAGTTCTTGACAAATCCCAGTTCTTGACTTCTGTGCACTCGCAGGCTCAACACCATGTGGAAGATGCCAAGGCTTGAGGTTTGCATCCTTTAAGGCCGTGGCCCGAGTTCTCTGTTGGTTCCTTTCAGCCACAGCAGGAGTGGTGAGGATGCAGGGCACCAAGTCCCTAGGCTGCACCATTCAATATGGTAGCCACTCCCCACCTACATGCAGCCTAGGGACTCTGGGCCTGGCCTGCAAAACCACTTTTTCCTCCTAGGCCTCCAGGCCTGTAATGGGAGAAACTGCTGTGAAAACCTCTGACATGCCCTGGAGATATTTTCCTCATTGTCTTGGTGATTAACATTCAGCTCCTTGTTACTTATGCAAATTTCTGGAGGCTGCTTGTATTTCCCCTCAGAAAATGAGATTTTCTTTTCTATTGCATGGTCAGGCTGCAAATTTTCCAAACTTTTATGTGGTGTTTCCCTTTCAAAACTGAATGCTTTAACAGCACCCAAGTCACCTCCTGAATGCTTTGCTTCTTAGAAATTTCTTCTGCCAGATACTCTAAATAATCTCTCTCAAGTTCAAAGTTCCACAAATCTCTAGGGCAGGGGAAAAAAGTGCTGCCAATCTCTTTGCTAAAACATAACAAGAGTCACCTTTGCTCCAGCTCCCAACAAGTTCCTCATCTCTATCTGAGACCACCTCAGATTGGATTTCATTGTCCATATCATTGTAAGCATTTTGGTCAAAGCCATTCAGCAAGTCTCTAGGAAGTTCCAAACTTTCCCACATTTTCCTGTTGTCTTCTGAGCTCTCCAAACCATTCCAACCTCTGCCTGTTACCCAGTTCCAAAGTTGCTTCCACATTTTTGGGTATCTTTTCAGCAGTGCCATTTTAATGGTACCAATTTAAATACTTACAAGGCTATTCAAATTTTTTATTCCATCGTGTGTGCTATTTTTTTTTCATTCTGGAAATGTATACATTTCATGAAAATCTTCACTGTCCAATATGAAAGTATTAGCTATTTAAATATAAATTATTTAATAATTTAGAAATTGTGTTTTTTAGTCATGTTAGTCACATTTCAAGTGCTCATTAGCTAGCTACAGGTGGGGAGTGGCTACCATATTGAATGGTGTAAATTATATTTCTTCACTGTGGAAGTTTCCATTGGTTACTACTGATTTAACTGTTCAAATTCAATGACATTTAAGAAATAATACCTTCATCTTTTTTGGTGATATGAATCAGTTTAATTGAAAACTACTTTGGAGAACAATTTTTCTTTTGTATTTTCAAATTTCTATTGCTGAACCTTGTTAGGAAATTTCTGCGGAATGCAAGATACGTCATTATAGATATCACTGACTTTAAAATAGATAAGTGAGATATCCTCTTCTAAAAAGTCAATGGCATCTATGATGATATATCTTATATACTACTGATATTACTAATTTACTCATTATCATTTGTGTCAGGGTTGTTGTATATTCTAAGAATCAACTCTCAGCTTTTTTTTCTCTCATGTATGTTTGTTTTCCTTAATCCTATTAACTTATCTTTATAATTATTGATCTCTCTATTTCTCTTGGGTTTCATTAGTGTTTGCTTCCTAACTTCTTGAGGATCAGCAATTAGATCATTATTTTTCAGTGTTTGTTATTTTCTAATATATGGATTTGAAGCTACCCTTTTTCCTCTAAAAACAGCCATATTCCACAAGCTATAACATACTGTATTTTTTCATAAGCATTTAGTTCTAAATATTTCCAATTTTGGTTGTGATTTGGTTTGTTATTTAGAATTGTATTGTTTAATTTAACTATTTGTGTATCTTCTAGATTTTTTCTAATATTGATTTCTAGATTAATCCAACAATGGTCAGAGGACATACTCTTATGTGATATGAGGCCTTTAAAATTTGTTGAGGCTTGCTTTCTAGAAAAGATAAAAGTCATTTTGACAGATGTTTTATATGTATTTAAAAGAGAATGTTTATTTTGCAATTTTTGGATACAGATTTGTATATTTTTATTAAGTCAAATCTATTAAATATTGTTATAATTTGTATATAAACCAACATTTTCATGAACATTGACATACTGATTCACATTAGTATGTCAGAAACAAATAGGAAATGAACCAGAGCATTACCCCTCTTCTTTCCTGAAATCTTGTGTTTTCAGACTTACCACTTTTAGACTACATCTTAACTCAAAAAGTAAGTCTATTGATGGGAATTTCAGACACAATCTTGTAAGTGAAATGATAATTTTAGACTTATAATAGCTAAAACAGCTAATAATTGTGGCTGAAGGGAAACGTTGAGCATTTTTAATTTTTTAAGAATGATTCCCACTTGATCATGGTGGATAAGCTTTTTGATGTGCTGCTGGATTCAGTTTGCCAGTATTTTATTGAGGATTTTTGCATCAATGTTCATCAAGGATATTGGTCTAAAATTCTCTTTTTTGGTTGTGTCTCTGCCAGGCTTTGGTATCAGAATGATGCTGGCCTCATAAAATGAGTTAGGGAGGATTCCCTCTTTTTCTATTGATTGGAATAGTTTCAGAAGGAATGGTACCAGTTCCTCCTTGTACCTCTGGTAGAATTCGGCTGTGAATCCATCTGGTCCTGGACTCTTTTTGGTTGGTAAGCTATTGAATATTGCCACAATTTCAGCTCCTGTTATTGGTCTATTCAGAGATTCAACTTCTTCCTGGTTTAGTCTTGGGAGAGTGTATGTTGTCCAGGAATTTATCCATTTCTTCTAGATTTTCTAGTTTATTTGCATAGAGGTGTTTGTAGTATTCTCTGATGATAGTTTGTATTTCTGTGGGATCGGTGGTGATATCCCCTTTATCATTTTTTATTGTGTCTATTTGATTCTTCTCTCTTTTTTTCTTTATTAGTCTTGCTAGCGGTCTATCAATTTTGTTGATCCTTTCAAAAAACCAGCTCCTGGATTCATTAATTTTTTGAAGGGTCTTTTGTGTCTCTATTTCCTTCAGTTCTGCTCTGATTTTAGTTATTTCTTGCCTTCTGCTAGCTTTTGAATGTGTTTGCTCTTGCTTTTCTAGTTCTTTTAATTGTGATGTTAGGGTGTCAATTTTGGATCTTTCCTGCTTTCTCTTGTGGGCATTTAGTGCTATAAATTTCCCTCTACACACTGCTTTGAATGCATCCCAGAGATTCTGGTATGTTGTGTCTTTGTTCTCGTTGGTTTCAAAGGACATCTTTATTTCTGCCTTCATTTCGTTATGTACCCAGTAGTCATTCAGGAGCAGGTTGTTCAGTTTCCATGTAGTTGAGCGGTTTTGAGTGAGATTCTTAATCCTGAGTTCTAGTTTGATTGCACTGTGGTCTGAGAGATAGTTTGTTATAATTTGTGTTCTTTTACATTTGCTGAGGAGAGCTTTACTTCCCAGTATGTGGTCAGTTTTGGAATAGGTGTGGTGTGGTGCTGAAAAAAATGTATATTGTGTTGATTTGGGGTGGAGAGTTCTGTAGATGTCTATTAGGTCCGCTTGGTGCAGAGCTGAGTTCAATCCCTGGGTATCCTTGTTGACTTTCTGTCTCATTGATCTGTCTAATGTTGACAGTGGGGTGTTAAAGTCTCCCATTATTAATGTGTGGGAGTCTAAGTCTCTTTGTAGGTCACTCAGGACTTGCTTTATGAAACTTGGTGCTCCTGTATGGGTGCATATATATTTAGGATAGTTAGCTCTTCTTGTTGAATTGATCCCTTTACCATTATGTAATGGCCTTCTTTGTCTCTTTTGATCTTTGTTGGTTTAAAGTCTGTTTTATCAGAGACTAGGATTGCAACCCCTGCCTTTTTTTGTTTTCCATTGGCTTGGTAGATCTTCCTCCATCCTTTTATTTTGAGCCTATGTGTGTCTCTGCACGTGAGATGGGTTTCCTGAATACAGCACACTGATGGGTCTTGACTCTTTATCCAATTTGCCAGTCTGTGTCTTTTAATTGGAGCATTTAGTCCATTTACATTTAAAGTTAATATTGTTATGTGTGAATTTGATCCTGTCATTATGATGTTAGCTGGTTATTTTGCTTGTTAGTTGATGCAGTTTCTTCCTAGTCTCGATGGTCTTTACATTTTGGCATGATTTTGCAGTGGCTGGTACTGGTTGTTCCTTTCCATGTTTAGTGCTTCCTTCAGGAGCTCTTGTAAGGCAGGCCTGGTGGTGACAAAATCTCTCAGCATTTGCTTGTCTGTAAAGTATTTTATTTCTCCTTCACTTATGAACCTTAGTTTGGCTGGATACGAAATTCTGGGTTGAAAATTCTTTTCTTTAAGAATGTTGAATATTGGCCCCCACTCTCTTCTGGCTTGTAGGGTTTCTGCCGAGAGATCCGCTGTTAGTCTGATGGGCTTCCCTTTGAGCAACCTACTCATCTGACAAAGGGCTAATATCCAGAATCTACAATGAACTCAAACAAATTTACAAGAAAAAAACAAACAACCCCATCAAAAAGTGGGCGAAGGACATGAACAGACACTTCTCAAAAGAAGACATTTATGCAGCCAAAAAACACATGAAAAAATGCTCATCATCACTGGCCATCAGAGAAATGCAAATCAAAACCACAATGAGATACCATCTCACACCAGTTAGAATGGCAATCATTAAAAAGTCAGGAAACAACAGCTGCTGGAGAGGATGTGGAGAAATAGGAACACTTTTACACTGTTGGTGGGACTGTAAACTAGTTCAACCATTGTGGAAGTCAGTGTGGCGATTCCTCAGGGATCTAGAACTGGAAATACCATTTGACCCAGCCATCCCATTACTGGGTATATACCCAAAGGACTATAAATCATGCTGCTATAAAGACACATGCACATGTATGTTTATTGCGGCATTATTCACAATAGCAAAGACTTGGAACCAACCCAAATGTCCAACAATGATAGACTGGATTAAGAAAATGTGGCACATATACACCATGGAATACTATGCAGCCATAAAAAATGATGAGTTCATGTCCTTTGTAGGGACATGGATGAAATTGGAAATCATCATTCTCAGTAAACTATCACAAGAACAAAAAACCAAACACCGCATATTCTCATTCATAGGTGGGAATTGAACAATGAGATCACATGGACACAGGAAGGGGAATATCACACTCTGGGGACTGTTGTGGGGTGGGGGGAGGGGGGAGGGATAGCATCGGGAGAGATACCTAATGCTAGATGACAAGTTAGTGGGTGCAGCGCACCAGCATGGCACATGTATACATATGTAACTAACCTGCACAATGTGCACATGTACCCTAAAACTTAAAGTATAAAAAAAAAAGAAACCTTTCTTTCTAGTTATAAGCATTCTACATAAAATGTAAATAAAAATAAAAGATTAAATTGTTTAAAAAAAAAAGAATGATTATACTTCTAAAACCTATTTTGTGGTTGATATAACACATATATTACATATATTTGTGCTGTTAAATGCTATGAAATGCTTCATAATAATACATTCCTGCTTATATTCTGATTAAAATCAAGGTATTCTCTGAATAAGATTGTATTACATGACTGTCATTAATAATTCCATAAACACTAGTCAGTTCATTAAAAATATGTTTTTCCCCTTTCTAAATTATTGATGAGGTTCGGATTTGTGTTTTCTAGAGGGGTCTTTTTTTTATCCTAAGAGAATCTAAAATTTGAATTATCACAGATTTTCTTATGCTCAATTCCAATTATCTACAGTTTTATAAAATAAGTTTCCAGATATTACCACTCAATGATTGAATAAGCTCTAACCATGATTATCCAAAAGTTTAGTTATCCCAGATCTTCATTTGTTATACCCAAATACCTGTTACTTTAAAACATTCAGAGCTGAAATTAGGTCACTCTTTACTTTTAATGTTATTTTGTTACTTCTGCTGAAAGATTTGTACAGATGGGATTTATATCACTACCTGACTTTATTGATTTCTCAGGAAAGCAAATAATATCCTAGAGGCCGATTTGGTCTACTAAGGCTAGACATACTGAAAATATGTTCTCTGGTAAAAATATAGCAGAAATTGATACCCTGACTGCTACTTTGAGAAGGAAAATATATGTTGGCTTTCCTACAAAACACATACCAAACAGCCAATCTCTCCGTAGCCAACAGATGTATTGTCCTGGAGATAATGACTTAAATCAAGCAGCTGGAGAAAGCAGAAATGCTTCTAGGCATAAAAATATGTTTTAATTGTCTTGCTAATATAAATGTGAGACCTATAAACACTTTGTTCAAGGAATCAGCAGGTGAGTTGTCTCTTTCTTACTTTCTTTGTAGCTTTTATCACAAAGCTCGTTCTGCCAATTGATCTTTAGAGAAAAAATAACAAATGAAGCCAGGTTCATCTTGTTAATGGTTTATATTGTGAAAGAGTTTTTAGAGAAACAGTATTATATATACATAGAGAGAGAATATGTGTATATATATAGATATAATATGTATATATATATGATTTATAATAGACCTGAACATTCATTAATTTTAACAGCTATGCCACATTTTGTGTACTTTCTCAAGCTGAATTGTGTCTAATGATGTCAAATTATGTAATGGGAAGAGAAAAATAAATTCAGGCACCCAGATACAGGAACATGATAAACTTTTATTTTATTGGAGTTTGTTATATAAACTAAGACTGACTTGTGTCCATTCACACATTTTGTTAATGTAAATATATGGCCAATATTCTTAATTGGAATTGGAAAAAAGGGTATATGTCTACTTCTTTATTCCAAAATTGTAATGAGTTATTATAGGCAACTCTTTTGGTAAATGATTCAATATGGAAGAAAATCTTACACAGAAATCCCACTATACACTGTGATACCAATTCTGCTCCTAGATCATTATTAATCTACTCTTGTGAAAAAATCTTTGTTTGGAGATCCAGTAAATCTAGAAATACCACACATTTGCTTTCCTTGTATGTGCCATTGTATGACCACCTGGGCACTCCCAACCATTACTGATGATTTTGGCAATGAACTTATTCTCCTTTTTCTCTTCAAGTATCTCCATCATCTTGTGGGACTTCAACATCTACGCATCTAATATTTTAGTTTGGGTACCTTTCCAACATAAACGCTCTTCTCCACTTGAATGACCTGTTTCCATACCCCTATATTGGATTTTCTCATTCCTTGGAACCACTTTGCTTTGAAATTTTAAAATCAACTCAAATCTTATATAAAAATCTCATTTCCATTTCAAATATCCTATCTGGTATTCCCTCTCATTCCAATTACCCTGGCTCATCAATCTGTTATTCCATTGAACTTTCTGCTCCATATCTCTCAACCTCCTCTCATTCATAAAATGAAAACTTTACAATTTTCTCATATTGGAAATGGGAATAATACCCTATGTACCTCACTGAATTGGTGAGTACACTGAAAATAATTCACATTTATCTTAATAACAGAATAAAGAAAAAAGATATACTGATTTCAATAGAGACAGCAAAATGATTTGACAAATATCAACACTAATTTATTATTTTAAAAATGTCAGTAAAGTAGAAATAGGTGGGCATTTACTCAATTTAAGA
This sequence comes from Homo sapiens, assembly GCF_000001405.40. NCBI lineage: Eukaryota > Metazoa > Chordata > Mammalia > Primates > Hominidae > Homo > Homo sapiens. The sequence goes on along the minus strand of NC_000002.12, from coordinate 188,822,798 downwards.
AAAAGAACACTTATGGAAAACCTAGAGCTAACACAACATTTAATTATGAAAGACTGAACTCTTTTCTTCTAAGATCAGCAATAAGGCAAGGAGATTTATATCATTTTTATTTAGTGTTACATTAGAGGCACTTGCCAATGCAAGAAGGCAAGAAAGTAGAAGTAAAATGCATATATTTTTAAAAGTATCTCTATTAGAAGGTGGTGTAATCATTTACATGGAAAATACTAAGGAATTTATAAAACAACTATTAGAACAATAAATAAATTTAGCAGAGTGGCAGGGTTCATGGGTTGGAAGACTGAATTTTGTTAATATGTTAGTTATCTTTAAAATGATCTATTGATTGAATATGATCATAATAACACTAATGGTATTTTAAATAAAAATTGGTAAACTGACTCTAAAATTTATGTAGAAATACAAAGAACCTAGAATACTCAAGTAATCTGAAAAAAGAAAAAAGTTGGAGGAATTTAATTGGCTTCAATAATTATAGTGTGGAACAAGCATAAAGACAAAAAATAAATAAATAGATCGAGGAAAGAGAATACAGAGCCCAGATTCCAGAATATAATGTCCAGTCATTTATGTGACTTATATGTCTTATATAATTATCTAATTTTTTGAAAAACACAACAGCAATATTTTAAAATACATGTATCTATATACTTTAATATGTGCAAAAACTAAAGGAGTTTCAAACAGTGGTACTAGGGCAAGTAAATACCTTAAAAATAAATAAATTCTATCACTACCTCAAAAAATTCCAAGTAAGATGAATCAGAGACCTAAATACAAAAACTAAAACTCTAAGGCTCATAGAAGAAAATATAAAAATACTTTATATTTCTTTGGAAGGCCGAGACGGGTGGATCACGAGGTCAGGAGATCGAGACCATCCTGGCTAACATGGTGAAACCCCGTCTCTACTAAAAATACAAAAAAAATTAGCCAGGCGTGGTGGCGGGCGCCTGTAGTCCCAGCTACTCGGAAGGCTGAGGCAGGAGAATGGCGTGAAGCCGGAAGGCGGAGCTTGCAGTTGGCCGAGTTGGCGCCACCGCACTCCAAGCTGGGCGACGGAGAGAGACTCCACCTCAAAAAAAAAAAAAGTTTATATTTTTATAGCCTCTAAAAGCATTAAACTACAAAGCAGTAAACAGAAGTAAAATTGATAAATTTAACTACATCAAAATTAAAATTTCTGCTCATCAAAAAATACCATTAAGAAAATGAATAAGCAAGTTACAGACTGGGAGAAAATATTCTTTCTCCCTCTCCTTTTCATTATATATAGATATAATTTGAGTTTTATGTATATGTATTATGGAGATACATATACAAGTAGTGTATATAGAATATATTGTGAGTATTTTATATATACATGCACACGCACACATTCACGCATATATTTTAAAAGAATTGGCTTTTTGTATAAATAAAGGACACCTAGAATTCAATAATTCAAAGAAAAAATGGTAAAAATGAGTAAACTATTTGAACCAATACTTTGCAGGTCATCAGGAAAACGCAAAAGAAAACCACAATAAGATATACACTCACCAGAAGGACTAAAATTAAATATAAAGTAACCCTGAAATCTTAAAAAAATACAGTTTTTTAAGTAGTATTACCATGTTGGAAAAAAAGGTCTAGCAATTTATTGAAAAGATGGCGAATATGTTATAAAGTGTCCTTTATAATAGTAATGATGAAAACCTTTTCACTCATTAATATATTTTAAGCGAATATTTTCTCAAGAGCATGGTGAACTAGAAATGTTGGAAATCCCTAAGTATTTACCAAGTTATTTCGTGGCAGATGAATGAAACTTAAGGTCAATATTAAATATTTTAGGCAATACAGAAAAAGTAAAATAAAATTTTTATCATTTGTCCTTGAAGTATGAAATAAAAGTTATTTATATTCTCATTGGGTTATAATTGAGCATCTGTCAAATTATGTATGCTTCAATGTTTCCACTTAACTTAGTCTGAATGAGTGCTGGGCCGGAAGTGTCTGATTTCATATCCTTCCTTATTTAGAAGAAAGTTAGGAATATTGTTGCCATGATATTAACACAGTGATATTCAGGCATTGCCTTGAACTGTGCGTGTGTTGGGGGTTGGAGGTAGAAATTATTCTTAGATACAGAGTAGGCATAATGATCTGGGGTCTACTCAACCAACTGCCTTCAGTACTGGATCCAAGGATCCACTCCTTCCTGAGTTTTTTCCCCCCTAATTTGAATTACCCATGTGCCTTTTATAACAACACACAAAGCTCATTCCACAAACTTATTGCCTCTAAGTGTTAAGTCAAATTCCACCATAATTTCCAGCACCTACTGCTCAAACCTATGAATGTGGAAATAAGAGAAGTCAAGGCTTATGAAACTCATTAAAAAGAGTCCAAGGGTGCAGAGGACTTAGATGAAAGACAAACAAAATAATTCTCAGAAAGGAAAAGTCCAACACTAAATTTTAACATACTGGGCACAGGTTGGGACTTGATAGTGTGTGGAAGGGGCTTAAAAGTAAGTGGAGACTTATAGGTTACAGTTTTTAGGAATTATTGCTGGAAAAGATTCATATTACAAGGACAAGTGGAGATATGCCTTTGTGATGTTTCTATACAGAGAAAGAAAAAAGAAAAAATGATAATCCAGCAAGAACAACTGAGAAACAAAGCATGCAACCTTTCTGCCTGCAACACTATCTTTCCCAGAAACTGCGTAAAAGATGACAGAACAGATAAGGCTTTTTTCAAGTGAGAAGAGAAAATAACTTTTATCTGAGGAATGCAAGTTCTTTTAATTATCAAGCCCAGAGAGACACCCCTCCTTCCTGCCTGCTTTGAGCTGTGTACTCATCTCTTAAAACTACATTCTGTTGCCACAAGTAGCCATAAATTAACCTAATAATGCCACACTGGACACGATAAACCACGCTGGATAACTTAACAGTGTATAGCTAACCACCAATCAATGTTATTTCTGTAAGCCAATGAGAATTCCTGACAAAAAAACTTTGTTATCAGCTCACTCCCTTTCCCCCTTTTTTTGCCTTTAAAAATCCACTTGTAATTGCTGCTAATCAGAGTGTATATTCAGAGCAACTTAAATCTATGCTCCCGGGTTGCTATCCTCAAGCTTGGCCTAAATAAGCTCTTTATTTGTTTTATTTTTGCCTCAGTTTCTTCTAATTAGGTAGACATGAGTTAGGAAAAGTCTTCCCCTCATAAGACAACAGGAAGCAGGAGAAAACTGAACCACCATATCCCATAATGAATTAAATAGCTCCTGAACAAGCTTTTAGGAATATGAGAAAATTCCTTGGCTCAGAAATACCCAATATTTTCATGTTTGAATTATGTGAGTTGTTTTCTCTCCTTGTTGATTATTTGCTTTTCTTTGGGGGGGGGTAGTGGGAGGAGGAGCAAAATTTGCTACTTGTCCTTTGATTTTTAAGTTTTAGATATTATCTGTTATCTGTCTACTCCAGAAGATAATTTTGAAGATTAGACATTATCTATTGTCTGCTATTCTGTAAGATGAAGACATAACACTTTCACAACAAAGCACATCCCTGGGAGGCCCCTCAGGAAGGGTGTGTGCATCTAACAGAATGCTCATAGTAAGATCAAACAAATACCTACTTTCATACTTGGATTCTTTGCACGTGTTTTTTAACTTTTGTTGAAATTCTCTTTCTTCTCATCTCAACCTGGTTGATACCATTCATTCTTCAAAATCAAGGCTTAATAACATTTTTCCCATAAATATTTCCTGAATCTCCCATGAACTATAATTTAAAGCTATAATTGGTAATTTTGTAGCACTTTGTGCATATATTATCACCATATATTTCTTAACATAATTTTTGTCTGACTAGTTCCAAACCCTCTAAGATTTAATTTTGAAAGCATGACTTCCTCCTGAGATGACTTCCTCCTGAGATCTTTCTCAATGTTCTTTCCTGGCCTCCTTCTACCCCCAGTCCAAGTTATGTCAGCTGTCCCTCCTGAGCTCCCAAAGCACCCTGTGCTTCTCTTCATTATTATGTTACAAACCTGGTGGCTTTCACTCCAAGTAGATAATAAATTTCTGGAACAAAGGCTATTGTTCTTAATATCCAACCCTGGTGCTTAGCCCTGGGCTGGAAATACATCTAAGGCTTAATAAATAGATGTTATTCTACTACGGTCATTATTACTTTTCTAGATTCTGAAAGTAAATGGTACATATATTTAAGTCTGGGACGGGGTCTCATTTTAATTTCAGTGTCAAAAAGACAGCCTATCATGCACCTGATATTTGATAAACATTTCTTGAATGAAATAATTTTATGATACCTATATCTTGAGTTAATCTGACGATTTCATCTAAAGTTAATTGCAGCCGAAAAGAAAATTAAGCTGCTCTATCTACACCAAATTACCCACTTGTAGCACAAATTAAAAGCTTCTGCTACTAAAATCAAAATCATAACACCTGTGTCCTATAAGGACTGGAAAGCAAATGACCATGTATCGTATTATATTCTTGGCACTGTCTTAAGTTTTCTGAAGTGAACTTGTTAGCAAAATTTGACATGTAAAAACCATTAAATGCTACTCCTCTAGAGTTTTGACAACGGTTTTTTCCTATCTTGTGATCTAGAAATTACTACAATTAGAAAGTGAATAAATCGAGAATCATATGGCTACTAAAATCAGAATCAACTGACAGTTTACATCCAGAGAGATAACTCAGCCAGACAAATAGACACACACAGTTAAATTGGAGAGATGTTATATGTCATAAGGGTTGAATATTAGTGTTTGGAATAATTTTTGAGTTCCTGTAGTTGGTTTCTATAGTTTTCAGGGTGCAAGTCATTAAGAATTGTTTGTTGCAATAAATGGCTGTCTGATTGCCTACTTTTGTGGCTACCCACAAAAATATGGCATCGTGTCATTTTATGAATAGTCATCACATATTTCAGTAAATAATCTATGGGAAAATACAAATTTCACAATAACTTGCAAGCAATATTCTTCAAAAACTTTCCAAATGTCTGAAAAATTTATTATTTATATATTACATGTAAAAGTTATATTTATATATAAAAAATTAATATGTACTTTACTTCCATATATATATATATATATATATATCTTTATGTTCTAAAATAGTAAATGAAAATCCAAAAGTTAAAAACTAGAATTTGTATACACATGCAGAATTAAAATTTGGAAATAGTTTCCATTGTTAACTATGCAAAACGAAATAATCTGAAATATTATTCAGTGAATATTTGTGATTATATATTTAATGTATGAAAGTCCACTAATGGTTTGGTTCATAATTTGGCCATAATTATGTTACTCTCATATAATTTATGAAAAGTAAGGGAAAGTAGAGATCATTTGATCTCATAGTTATTAATTAGAATATGAGAAGATGAAGATTTTTCAAAACATGCCCACTAGGACACTGTCCCTTCATGTTTGATTCATAAGGTTTGAGATAGAAATATACATGTGTATTCCTGTTGTATGCTCCTGGTTCACACCATTGACAAGGCAATTTCTTCCTTTTAGAGTCAGATACATTGACTATTAGAGAGATTAAATAATTTGACAAAGTTATAGGTATAAATATGAAAAAGTTACATTACAATATGCTTATATTAGAATGGTGTTTAATTATTAAAAATATGAAATATGGATTAGTGGCTCTAAATTCCCAGAATCTATTAAAAATCCATAACTTACTTGAAGATATAAATTCTGGAGGTAAGAAAATCAGTATGCTCAGATGAACACATGGATAAAGTGCTCTATACATTTTTTATATTTTATTAGAATTATTTTCTTTGAGTGATAATGTTTCTTTTCATTTTGAATAGCCAATTTACTTTGCATCTGACTGAATAGAAGGACTCATTAAAATATTAACTTTTTAAAATTGTGGTACAATTTAAATAATGTAAAACTAACCATTTTAAAATAAACAATCTAATGACATTCAGTGCCTTCACAATGCTGTTCGACCACCACCTCTAGCTAGTTCCAAAACATTTTTACCACCTCCAAAGGAAAAATCCATACCATTTAGCAGTTGTTCACAATTTCCACATCCTCCCAGTCCCTGGCAACTACCAATCTGCATTCTCTCTCTATGAATTTACCTATTTTGGATATTTCAAATAAATGAAATCATACTTTTATGTCTGTTTTTTTTTCACTTAGCATAGTATTTTTGAGGTTTATCCAAATTGTAGCATGTGACAGTACTTTATTACATTTTATGGATAGACAATATTCCATAGTATCAAGGTACCACCGTTTGTTTGTCCATGTATCCGTTGGTGGACATTAGACTGTTTTCATCTCTTGGCTATTGGAAATATTGTTACTATGAATATGTGTGCACATGTATTTGAGTACCAGTTTTCAATCTGGGGGGATATTTATAGAATAACTACCTTTATGGTAAATGAAATACAAACTTTTAAATGAGTTTTTACAGATCTAAAATGAAAAACAAGATATTTAAAGAAATACTAAAGCAAAGGTTTGTCACGCTGGACAAGTCATAAGTGGACAAATGCAGTGATGTTGCCTTCTATCTCTGAGTCCCTCTGTTTTGATTCCCTTCATCCCACCTACTTCACCATTTTACCTTCTACCATCCCATCTCTATCCCCATGACACATGTTATTTTATCTAAAGAAATGAATAAAGGCAAAATATTAATAATTTATTTCATTTGTCAAGATAGCTTTCAAATTTATTTTAGCCTATCAAGACACAACATCTCTGATTTTATGAGACATAGTCTTGTTTATTTTAGCCAGATTACTCACAAACTCCTAGTACAATGCTTTGCCAAATAAATGAATATATGGATAAATGCATTTTAAATGTAATAAAAGGCACTGTATTTTATGGCCATTTGCAACAATACTAGCTAAGCTTCATCTAAATGAGATATAAAAAGCATGTACCCCTCTTTTTTAATGAACTTATGTAATAGAAAAATTGAAATATAGCATGTCAGACACTGTTTTTACTATATTCTGGAGTTGACTTCACTGAATTTGTGGAGACAATTGAAAATACTGTATCAATTTTATCAGTGTGAGGTCTAATTAATAACCACGGAATAATGATGGTCTCTGTAAGAAATTTTAAATGCTCATAAAAGTAATAATGCTTAAACCATTCTAGGATATGAACATTAAGGAAAGCCTGAGATATTATCTTTCTGAAAACAAAGTAGTATGGAAAACACAACAAATACTTCATATTGTAATGCATTACTCCTTTTAAGTGGAAGAACTAAATGGTAATCTCTTAGCTTTACATTTTCAGCCCGATTCACGCTTCTGACTTAAAGTTATAGACCTTGTTAACATCGAAAGGTTTTAATAATTATATAATTACAGTTTACTTCTTATAATATGTTGTACAGGCATGGTGGCTGACACCTGTAATCCCAACACTTAGAGAGGACAAGTTGGGACGATTGCTTGTGGCCAGGAGTTTGAGACGAGCCTGAGCAACATAGCAAAACCCCAGCTCTATGAAACAATTTTAAAAAATTATCTTGAAATGGTGGCATGGGCCTATTTCTCAGCTACTGAGAAAGCTGTTGGAGAATCACTTGAGCCCGGGAGAGGTAGAGGCTAAAGTGAGCCTTGATTGAACCACTGCACTCCAGCCTGGGTGACAGAGTGAGAGCCTGTCTCTAAATTTAGAAATGAATAAATAAAATAAAATAAAATAAAATAAAATGTGCGTCTGGCTTACTAATCTCATTCACAAAACATAGTGTTTAATTTTTAGTTAAACATATGTTCATAAACATGAGTAAACTTTTCTACTTTATTACTTCCTTCTTAAGTCATTCTCTTAGATTACGGGAAGAATAAACCTTCATGATTTACATTAGGTTTTCTTTCAAAGAAAGAAAAGTTTACCATCAAAGCAGTTTTCCTTCCAAATTTTATCAATATTATGGCTTCTGTATAATTTACTTGATATGGTCTCTGTTTCAACCTGAAGCTCAGCAAGAACTAAAGTGGGGAGGGTTGCCTACGTTATAAATGGTACCTCTGATGGCAAATGGATTGTTAAAATAAGCATTGCTTAAAGTTAAAGCAAAATATATTTCCCTACACTTAATGATTTGTTTATATTTTTGTTTTAATCTATATACTAAGTACTAAATTATAATAAAACAATGTATCAATTATATATATTATTTATATTATATAAATAAATTTAAAATAGCTCAGTTTAATAATTTTCAAGTCTTAAAATATACGAGTCAGGGTCATCTCCTTTTTTTTCTGCATTTTTTCTTCACCATTTCAATTTCAGTCTGGATTTTATTATAGAAAAATAACTCTTTTTTCCCTAATTTTTCTAGCCTGCCCCATGTGATGAATGGTGCTCCTTTTACTTATGATATCACTGCAGTCTGAAATTGAGAGACATAGCACATGTTGTAGACTTCTGCTTTTCTACTTACCAAAAGCCAAAATACACTAGGTAGTATTTAAACACAACTAAGAAGAGAATTCCTATTAGGTCAGAAAGCAGGAAAAGGAGGCTTAATGTTGAATTTACCAGTTGGAGCTATAAAACCCCAAGTACGTTTTGTGATTTCTGCACGTCTTACCTAGGCCCAAGTAGGTCTGACAGAGAGCCACGGAGCACACATTTCCTGTCTTAAGTCAACGTTGGGCCCAGCCCCAGAAGCTCACAGTATTACACTGACTATTTCCAGACTTTGGCCAGTACTAAGCCTCATCTCACCGACACATTCCTAGACTGATTCTGTGACTTAGAAATGCTGAAGGTGTCTGGGTTGTTCAACCAATCTAAAATTTACTGCTGAGAGTGAGAAATAAGTGCTCTGTCACCTGGGCCTGAACCACATAGACACATGGTCTAAATGCAGGGGGCATTCAGTTTCAGACAATCTAGGTTTTACCTAGTTTTGCAGAAACATTAGTTAAATGTGAAATGTTTCTCTGGGAAAAAATGGTTTCCAAAGTCTTGTTATAAAAATTCAAGCCAAATAGGAATTTAGTCATTGGGAATCAGGAAGGACATTTCAACATTTAGGAAAATCCTTCACAGAAAATTACGATTCCCCACAGAGTTTTGGAAAAGCACACGCTGGTTACTTACTTACCATGGTAAGAAGGATCCCAAAGTCAACTTAATGTCTTTGAAGAAATGAGTTAGAAAATGAATACACAAGAAGACCTTAGTTAAGATAACCACAGTTAGTCATCAAAATATTTTTCTGCCTATGACATATCAATGTGGTTTAAAATTGTCTAGTAACAGCTATATTTTTTATACATATGGTTTTCAATTTTTTTCATTAAACCCGACATGAGACTATTTTAAAAACTTACTTCATTCATAGAGCTATATCATCTAGTACCAGAGAAATCCATCAAAGCACAAGTGAGAATTCTGCACTCTTAAGAAAAATGCCTTAAAAAAAAAACCATACCAATCATTTTTTATTAAGCAGCAATTTAACATCATTTTAATTTAATTTTCTATTGTAAAGCAAAAAGAGATAAATAACATTGCATTTCATCAGCACTTGCTCCCAATAACTCCCATGCTCAGCAAGAAATAAATATTGAGATAATTGCAGTACATTTCATTTATAAACAAGGTAACAGAGGCCCCCTTTTTCCACAGTGAAAGGTCCTCAACAGCAGCGCTATTGGACCACTAAATACTCTCTATCCAGCAGGTCTTCATGATGCTTCCATTAGAGTATGGTGTATCTGAAAAGTTCAACCTTACCTTGGTTTAGCACTGCTTCTCTCATGTGGCTGGTTCGTATAGCCTCAGTGTAAAGGCTGCCGAGGAATTCCTTAAGCATCATGGGGGATATCGTGGCCATTAAAAAAGAACTATGTTACTAACTTTTTCAACATATGTGGATTTTAGTAACTTGGAAAGCAAAGAATGCGGTAATATTTCAATTAAATTCTGTGGATATAAAGCCTTTACTCACTTTTGTTTTGCTTTATTTTATTGAATGAAGTTACCAAGTTTATAAACCCGTAGTACATCGTGACCTACCTTACACAGCTCAATAACATTCTGCCAACCTGCTGAAGTACAAGGCCACACAATACTGACTAGTCTTTGTGTGCTGCCCTTTGTGACAAGGTAAGGGTAAATATCATGGAAGATAAGCAGTTATAAAGATGGTCTTCAGTTCATGATGGCATCATTTGTCTTTTCTTAGTATACTGTTTTCATCCTCGGTAATGGCCCTTCTTTCCCATCAAAGTGTTTGCTCTTTGCCTGTTTTCTAGCCTGCAGCCCCAATCTAATTAGCAGTAGATCTCTGACCAGTTGTTTGAAATAATTATTGATTTGCTGGTTTATTGTACATCAATATGAATAGGGAAAAATTAAAATAGGGAGAGAGGGAGGGTGATTTATTTTCTTTATCACATTAATCATTGACCCAGTTGCTATTTTCTGGTCTTCAAATATTCCCTAAATAATAATTTTCACCTTCTGTTATTCTAAAACTTATCTTTGTATCTGCTGTTATTTTCCTCCTTTGGTAGAACATTATTTAATACTTTTTCTATAATTAGAACATACCTTTTAAAATTATTGAATTTGCACTATAACAGAAAGTTACCTAAGACAAACTTTAACTGTCTTTGAGATTTTGCTTTTAAAAACATGGGAAAAGATGAAACGTAATTACAAGAAAGTTAATGGAGAAAATGAGTTTATCGCATGGTTTTCATAGTACCTTGCTTTTAATATTAGCTTCCCTTTTGTAGATATATGGGAATCCAGACTGTGTACCTGGGCTGAATTAATATTTTTACAGAGCTTGACTAAATAAGGGAACAAGAAAGACATTTACTTATGTGAAAAGAATGGAATTAAAGGTGATTCAGGGGCAAAATCAAGTCCAGACATTTTTTCCAACCAACTCAGCAATCAGAAAAAGGCAGAACTGGAGAAACTGAGTATGAGACAAATGAAGTAGAACAGGATTTGAGTGGCCTGAAAAGGAGCCACAATTATAAACGTGGCCTCCATATCTCAGTGGCTGGAATTAGCTGTTAAGAACACAACCATCAGAACATTGTGTAACACCATGACTCATAAAATCTCATTTAATTTTCATACCAACCCACTCTGAATATGTTGCTGTCTGGATGCTTCTTTCAGACTTAATACCACTGCTGACTGAAGAGCATCATTTTGGTGTTATCACCATGGCCTCTTGCAGAATTATATGTATGTTCCAGTCTTAGCACCACTAGCTCTTGATTCAAAGTCTGAGGTGTGTACATTTTATTAGTGGACCTAGATCATGGGTTTGCACCTTAGCTCCAAGTGAGACTGGGAAAGCAAGCAGGCATCTTTAGGTTTCATAAAGAAAAAAGGAGCACTCTACTTGCCAACAGTACTCATAAAATGAGGAGTTCCCCCAAAACATGAAGGAGAGTTAGGACATATAGCAATATTTTTTTCAAATAATGGCAAATGTCTATTAAAGTTCATATATTTGGCTAATAAACATCAAAATGTATCCTTTCTCAGGTACAACATAAAGTATTTTTTGCCTATATCATATATGACAGACAAGACAAAGACTTCAGAGTTAGTGCTTTCAAATACAGGTCCAAGATTGCTAAGCAAAAATAAAATTTATAATCTAGTTTGGTAATGATTCAGATATGTCTTAACTGATACATAAACTGTAAAATTAGCTGCTACTACCATATGGTCATGTAATGGCAGAGAAAAAAAGAGAGAAAAGGAGAGTACTAATTAGAATACATAAGTGTTTACATGTCACAGGAAGAAAGACTTTAGAGACCTTGTTTCATCAAAAAGTTATGAGGTCGTAGTTGGTATTTATGACTTTCCTCTTCCACCCCATTTCATGATTCTTTTGTCATCAACCAGCATCATAGCTTGTTGGGAGATTTTACTAAGCGGGTGACAAAATACTTGGCAGTCTTATCTGTATAGCATTACTCTAATCTTTCTACAGTTTTTATCATGACATATGGCAGTTCTAGGATGTATTCCAGGGAACACCCTAAGTTTTAGTCATTCTTCTTCCTGTTCCTATTGTATTAACAGAAATCTGTTCAATAATCTTAAGATCTAACACCTTGCAAAATTACATCCTCTTTTTCTTTTCTTTCTTTCTTTTTTTTTCTTTTCTTTTCTTTGAGACAGTGTCTCGCTCTGTCTCCAGGCTGGAGTGCAGTGGCGTGATCTCAGCTCACTGCAACCGCCGCCTCCTGGGTTCAAGTGATTCTCCTGCCTCAGCCCCCCGAGTAGCTGGGACCACAGGCGTGCAGCACCACACCCAACTAATTTTGTAGTTTTAGTAGAGACAGGATTTCACCATGTTGGCCAGGATGGTCTTGATCTCTTGACCTCGTGATCTGCCCGCCTCGGCCTCCCCATCTTTTTCTTTTAACCAGTGTCAGTCGGAGGCAGACGTAGGCTGAAATTGAAGTTTCCAATGGAATTACAATATCCTTGTTCTTAATATCTCCAAACTGTTAGAACATACAGTGATGAGAGTAGGAAGTAAAATATTATGAGAGCAGCTGTAATAGTTAGAGATATCCTCATATTCAACCCAGAACCATCCCAGAATTTTGATTAGTGGAGCAACAACAATATTTACTTTTAGTTCAGGATTTATATCACACCACATAAAATTCTACCTCTATCTCCTCAAGTTTTATCTCCCAGGTGGCACAGTAATTGAGTCTTTTTTTGTTATTTCCTTGTCCCTCGAGACTAGCTGTTTCTTGGTAATAGTGTGCATGGTAAGTAAAATACTTGGTTATTAGCCAGATATGTTCTGTGGAATACCACCAAGTTGAATAACACAACCAGTAAGCACATTGATGGAGGTACTAGAAGAAATCTGCAGATAGGGAAAGAAAAATAAAAAGCAGCCATATATAGTATAAGAATCTATTGTAGTGATAACAAATCACAACCTCCTCCATGATAATGAAATTCTATATAATCTACCAAGAGGCTGATAGACCTTCAGGTGGTGGTACCAACACAGAGGCTAAGAATGGTTCATTTCTTATAGAAAGCTGCTAGCCAAGTCAGCCTTGCTATGGAAGATCAGTATGGTTGAAACCATGAATGAAATCTCTTACTACCATGAGCACATAGATTTAGGACTGAAGTGAGGGAAAGAGGGCTGGTCAGCATGCTTATAACAGTTCTTCATTTCCATTTAGATATTAAGAACATCCTTCACAATGGACATTTGCATATTCTGAACCTACTTTGAAAGGCTACAATTCATAAATTGACAATTCCTAAATTGTCAATGAATAGAAATCTTAACCTCAACCCATCTCAGGCAAAATGTAAAAGTATTTTGCAAGGTGTTTGATCCTAAGATTGAGATATGCCACTCAAAATTTTGCCAAAGCAAATGTTTTCTAGTTCCATTATCCTTTAGAACCCATCTAAGTACAGTTTTTTACTACAGAATTAAACTTCCAGCTGCTATATGCATATGGCATGGAGCCCTAAAACAGATTAAAATTTTTTCTCTTTAGTCAACTGATGGTAAGAAATTCCCTAGGAGGTCATTTGTGATAATAAGTTGAGAGAATGGTAGAACTGGAATAAGAATTGGCCCACTGGGAATGTGAGTCACCAGCTCATGCAAATTATATATGCTTCCAGAACTGTCTTGGAGCAAATTTCATCTATTAGACTTCCATTAATGTTCATACCAGGCCTTGTGGGTAGATGCATCAGATAACCCATACTTCATGAGCAAAGGGAGTTTGACCATCTAATAGTCTCATGGTTAGGCATTCAGTCCTTCAGTTAGTTTGATTTTTAAAATAGACTTTATTTTGTTAGAGCAGTTTTAGGTTCACAGCAAAATTGAGTGGAAGTTACAGTACAGACATTTCCCATATGTATACTGCCTTATGCACAGCCTCATCCATTATCAACGTCCTCCACCAGAGTGACACATTTGTTACAATTAATAAACCTACATTGTTTATTTTTTTGACTGCCTAAACAAAGACTTTATTTTTTAATTTTTTTTTAAGTTCCAGGGTACATGTGCAGGATGTCCAGGTTTGTCACATAGGTAAACGTGCCATGGTGGTTTGCTGCACCTATAAACCCATCACCCAAGTATTAAGCCCAGCACGCATTAGCTCTTTTCCCTAATGCTCTTACCCCCAACCCTCCCCCAACAGGCCTCTGTAAGTGTTATTCTCCTCCCTGTGTCCATGTGTTCTCATTGTTCAGCTCTCACTTATAATCATCCACAGTTCATCGTTTACCTTAAAGTTCACTCAGTATTGTACATTGCATGGGTTTGGACAGATGTATAAAGGCATGTATCCACCATTAAAATAGCATATAGTCTTCTCACTGCCTTAAAAATCTTGTGTGCTCTGCCTATTCACCCCTCCACAGATCTTTGTTTAGAATGTTTAATTATGACACTTTCTATTATATACAAAAGGAAGAGAATGATATAACAACTCCTCATGTACCTATGTCCCAAGATATTCATTAATTAATATATAAGCATTCTTGTTTATCTATGCCTATCCGCTTCACCACCAACTAGATGTTATCAGTTTAACCATAAGCAATTCAGCATATATCTCTAGAAGACAAGAAATATTTTTGAAAATTATATAATGATAGCATTATTGTATCTAATAATTCACAATAATTCTTTATATCTAGCAAATTTCAAATTTATCTTACTGCTAAACATGTACATTTTAAAGTTGGCTCATTAAAATCAGAATCTTAATCAGTTCTGCATAGTACATTTGAATATATTCCCTGTGATTTTCAATCCATAATAATCACTTTCTTTTCTATAGTCTTTAATTTGTTGAAGAAACCAAGACTTTTGTCCTGTGGAAGTTCTCATATTCTGGATTTGTCTGTTTGCCCGTGCAGTGTTTTCTATTTGTTTGAGACAGGGTCACATTCTTGCCCAGGCGGGAGTGCTGTGTCATGATTAAGGCTTATTGTAGCCTCCACTCTCAGCCTCCAAAGTAGCTGGGGCTACAGGGGAGCACCCCCCATGGCTGGCTATTTTTTTATTATTTTTATTTTTTTCTCACTATGTTGCTCAGGCTGGTCTCAAACTCCTGACCTCAAGCAATAATTCTGCTTTGGCCCTCCAAAATGCTGAGATCACAGGCATAAACCATCATGGCTGGCTGCCTACAGTGTTTTTTAACATATTCCTCATTCTCCTGTATTTCCCATATAATGGAAGGTACTCAAATACAACGATATTCAATAGAAGAAAAAAACACAACTCTACTGCACTTTTAAAAAAATGTTGCTGTCATTAAAAAGACAAAAGAAGACTGAGGAACTGTTACAGATTAAAAGATGCTAAAGAGACATGAAAACTAAAAGCAATGCATAATGAGAGATTTCATTTTCCTATAACAGACATTATTGAGACAAATGACAAAATTTGATAAAGTCTGTAAACAGTTCATTCTATTATATGACTATCTCCTCTTGGTTTTTATCATTGTACCGTGGCTTAGTAACAGAATGTCCTTATTTTTAGAAAAACACACTGAAATGTTTAGGGGGAAAATGTCGTATCTATAACTTATTAAGTGGTTTATAAAAAATGCATATATGTGTGAACATATATAAATATATACTTATATGTTTATATAGACACACAGTCACATACCACGTAATAATGTTTTAGTGAATGATGATATGCAACGGTAGTCCCATGAGATTCTAATGGGGCTGAAAAATTCCCATTGCTTATTGACATCATAGCCTTCATAACATCATAGAGCAATATATTACCTTTCTTTGTTTAGATATGTTTAGACACAAAAATACTTACTGTTGTGGTACAATTGTTTACAGTGTTCAAAACAATAACACATGGTACGGGTATGTAGCCTAGGAGCAATAAGCTTTACCATATAGCCAAAGTATGTAGTAGGTGGTACTATCTAGGTTTGTGTAAATACACTCTATGATGTTCACACAATGATGAAATTACTTGAAGACACATTTCTCAGAACATAGCCTTGTCATTAAGCTATGCATTACTGCATGTATTCATACTTAAAGAGAGAAAGAGAAAGAATGAAGAAGAGGAGGAAGAACAGGAAGAAGAAAGATAAATATGGCAAAATGTTAATATTTGGGTAAGCTGGATGAAAAGTGTATGGAAATTATTTGTACTATTCTTGCAACTTTTCTGAAAGCCTGTTATGTCAAAATAAAAGTTTAAAAACATGACAGATCTGGTACTTTATGAGATTCATGTTCAACAATTTGGCAAGGTCATTTCATAGGAAGTTCATTGAGCTTCCTACTGCATCACATCAGGAAAAACCATTATGTCTGGTTGTCTCTCTTTTAAAGTGAAGTTAAGGTTGATAGGTAGGGTTAGGTGGTTAGGCTTATCCTCTTGTAAAGATGCCATCAGCTTTTTTACCTAATAGTTTAAAGTAGCTATTGATAATTGCCTAGGTGCATCAGTTTATTAGGGATTGGAGAACAGTTATATTCTAATTTTATCACTTTCTGCATTTCTAAGTTAGGATTCTCCTACAAATAATTTTTATATATCCACTATTTACATTAACTTATAGTGTTCATTTATTAAAGATAACATAGATGCCATCTTTCCTTTTCTATAATAGTTTGAGATAATGAGATGGTGCCAGTGAAATAATATGATGCCACACCAAGTTTCAAAATTAACCAAGGGGGTTTCACTGGAATACCTAGAATGTAACCTATCTAATACATTTCAGTGTTTTGCTGTTCACTATTTTTCTTGATATCAAATTTTCTCATATCTAACCTATAGACGGTCTTCAAGTTGATTCCTATGTGCTGTTTTAACAAAACCACCATAGTTTTTAAGATTATTTGCTTTCTGGTATGAAAACATGTTTAGCATTATCTAGTATATTTCTAGTATATTTCTATAGGCAGATCTGAAACCAGTCAATTATTCAAGGGTTCTTGGTTCCTCTTAGTGATAAAAAGTATTTCGAGTCTATAATAGTTTCCTATTTTTGTGTGACAAATTTCCACAAAGTAGTCTCTTAAAACACACACACACACACACACACACACACGTCCATAATTTCTGTGGGTCAGAAATTTAGGCATGACTTATCTCAGTCTTTTTCTCAGGGTATCACAAGGCTGAACTCAAGCAGTTAGCTGTACTGAATTTTTATCTGCACGCTTGACTAGAGAAGAATCTGCTTCCAAATTCATTTAGTTGGGTGTCAGAATTCATTCTCTTGTGGCTGTGAGACTAAAGGCACAGCTTATTATCAACTGTCAGCTGGAGGCCACTGTCTAGTCTTGGATGCCACATACAATTTCCTGCCACACGACCCTCTCTCCTAGGTAGTTCACGTCACAGCAGTCTGCATCTTCAAGGCCAGCAGGAGAATCTTTCTCACTAAAACCTGCTCATAGAGAGTTTGTAGTTAATCATGAAAGTGGCACCTCATCATCTTTGTTCATTCTGTTAGCTAGAGGCAAGTTCTGCACACACTCAAGGGGGAGGGGATTATATAAGGGCATGATTCATTGGGGGTCACTTTAGGTTTTATCCATCACGAGGATTCATACCTGGGGACTTGTGGTAATCACTGCTTTCTGATTTAGACATTGCTTTTAGGCCTTTTCAGTGGCATGAGCTAAAAAGTACATTTCTTTAAAAGGGAAAAATACATCATAAGTTTATTTACTATATTTACTTAACTTTTTAAGTTTCATATTGTGATCTTTTTATTCTTACTTTGAAAATCTTAATTCCTAAATATTTTATTATAATTTACTAATTTTCTATTATATACATATAGGTACATGTGTGTACATATGTATACAAACATACATGCATATGAAGTTTAAAATATTCTGTTTAATATAATACTGTATTAGGGTTCTCTTACAGGGACAGAACTAATAGGATATATATATATGAGTTTATTAAACATTAACCCACATGATCACTAGGTCCCACAGGAGGCTTTCTGCAAGCTGAAGAGCAAGGACTGCCAGTCCGAGTCCCCAAACTGAAGAACATGGAATCCAATGTTTGAGGGCAGGAAGCATCCAGCAAAGGAGAAAGATGGAGGCTGGGAGGCTAGACCCATCTCACTTTTTCATGTTTTTCTGCCTGCTTTATATTTGATGGAAGATGATTAGATTGTGCCCCCTAGATTAAGGGTGGATCTGCCTTCCCCAGCCCACTGACTCAAATGTTAATCTCTTTTGGCAGCATCCTCACAGACACATCCAGGATCAATACTTGTATCCCTCAATTCAATCAAGTTGACAGTATTAACCATCACAACTCCACCTCTTGTCAACTTGAACCCATACACATCTCCTGAGATCATACATAATCTTCAAATAAAGACAGTAATAAGGTCATAATTATAGCTAACATAATACAACTATCCTTCCTACAACTGGAAATGCACCAATCCCCAACCCAAATACTATTACATAAAGTTAACAATACTTAAACGTTGATATGAAGTCAATAAATTTTATGCCACATAATAAAGAAAAAGGAAATAAAATGAAGATATTTTCTTAGTACAAGGGTATACATGTACAAATATGTTTTTAACAAAAGAAGGAGGAAATACTAATGACAATTACAGTCCTCATATCTGCAGCTGGTCATATAGTCATAGCAGGTATTGATGACTACTTTCTTCTACTTATTCTGTATTCCCTTTGCCTTCAGTAAGCACCTCAGCAGGTCATGGTTTTTTCCTGGTGAAGTGACCCAAACCTTCATTCCTGAAGGGTCTGGGCCATTTGTAGTCCTGCCTGGATTGGGCTATTGTAGTTTTCCATTGACCTTAATTACAAGGCATGCTAATACTGAGAGATGCCCTAATGGATGTCCTATATTTGATGCTTACGTCCATTGTGGAGTAGTAGACTGATTTCATCTAGATAGTCTGGGTCAATCACCCCAGCCAACACTGTAAGTCCCTTCTTAGCCTGTTGACTTAAATGTAGGAGGAGCCCCAAATCCAAAATGTTCAAGTGGCATAGGCTTCCTATCAATTTAACTTCTAGGAACACCATAATTTATTAGTCAATGCCAGAGTTGTACATGAGTCAGACAATTCTGATTGTTGTTTTGCCTCTGCTGTTAATTACAGCAGCTATACCCACCTTGCCTTTGACAATTGAGTGCTATCACTTGGCCCCTGCCACCTCGGGATGCAATTATTCCCAACATATTTAAAATTTGTAGTTGAGTGACTGCGGTTCCCATTCTTCAATCTGACATACAGAGAAGAGCAATTATAGGCGCTCTTCAAAGACGCAGATGCTGCCTTCACAAATCTATTTCACAGGCATTGGTCAAGGGTATATCTTCTGGACCCTCCCAGCTGGGATGAGTAGGTCTCAAGTGACTAATCCACTCCACCATCCCAGTCTCCTTAAGCCTTTGGATCCCTTCCTCTACATTAATCCAAGGGAGATCAGGCATTTCCAGTTCACTCACAGTGGGCCATCTTTTAATCCATGTTTCGGCTAACCAAGCCAACAAACTATTAGAAGAGTTTTTAACTCCCCAAGCTGCAACATTAAAAGCAGAGTCTCTACTTAGCAGGCCCAAATCATTAAATTTAGCCTGATCCAACTCTACATTCCTTCCACCATTATCCCATACTCTTAATATCTATTCCCATGCCTGTCCTCCAGATTTCTGTTTATCTAAATTAGATAATTCAAACAGTTGTTTTTAAGGGTAGCACACTACCTCATGGGTCACACTCTCAACCTCACCTCTAGGGGCCCACTGGGACTTTAGTCTAGTTATAGGTCTAGAAGCAAACAGAAGTGTTGGGGGTGGCTCCTGAGGAGAATCAACATTACCTTGCCTGCCAACTGCCTCAGGAAAGGCCATCACTATTGCCTCAGGCACCACAGGGTTTATCTCCTCAGACAAAGGTGGAAAGGCTGATGGTAGCATGGGTGTGGGAGAGGATGCTGCCCCTACTGGGGATGGGAAAGCTGTTCCTTCTGGCAAAAAAATGTTCATCAGAGTTTACAAACTCTGTGTCCCAGCTTCATCAGGGTCCTCCCACATGTCCCTATTCCAAGTTGCAGTGTCCCATTCTTTTCCAATCAATACCCTCACTTTAACGGTAAACACCTGGTGAGGCTGTGCATGCATCTTTTGTTGCAAATCAGCTATTCTCATGATAAGAGCTTGTGTCTGTTTTTCCACAATTTCAGCTCTTTCTCTATAGGAGATAAGATTCTCACAGAGGGCAATCTTAACAGATTTGAGGCTCAGTATCTGCTTCTGAAGCCAGGAGACAGAATCCCTGAGTTCATCATTTTCTTTCATCATTTTTGTCCACTGAACTTAAGAGCAAGCAACGAGCTTCATTATGTTCCTTGGTTCTCCACATATGGTCAAAGGTATTATGTATAGAGTCACTAAACTCCTTGCCTCTCATGAGTGATGAATCAGGAGTGTCAAATGCATTTATTTTGTATAACTTTCTAAACAGTTCATGCCAAGGACTATCAGTGTTCTCCATACTATTGGAAGTAGAGTCCTTAGCATTTTTGAGTCTAATCATATTAGGCAGCCAACTCCAGAAACCCCAGGACCAGTGGAAGAACTCCATCCTTCATATTCTGTTTCTCTAGAACCAATCCTGGTACCAAAATCTGTATTAGTCAGGGTTCTCTTAGAGGGACAGAACTAATAGGATATATGATTATTAAATATTAACTTACACTATCACAAGGTTCCACAATAGGCTGTGTGCAAGCTGTGTGCAGAGCCAGTCTAAGTCCCCAAAATGAAGAATTTGGATGTTCGAGGGCATGAAGCATCCAGCATGGGAGAAAGATGGAGGCTGGGAGGCTAGGCGCTTCTTGGTTTTCTACGTTTTTCTGCCTGTTTCATATTGGCTAGAAGCTAATTAGATCGTGCCCACCAGATTAAGGGTGGATCTGCCTTCCCCAGTATACTGACTCAAATGTTCATCTCTTTTGGCAACACCCACACTGACACACCCAGGATTAATACTTTGTATCCCTCAGTCCAATCAAGTTGACACTCAATATTAACCATAACACTTACATTGCAAGTGTAATGCAATATATTTATATATTATGTATATTTATATAAAATATATGAAATATATTTTATATATTATATATAATATAATACATACTTTATAAAATATGTAAATATAAATAAATAAATATAAGTAAATTTTATATAAATATATAATATATTATATATTAAATATATGTTATATTTTTTATATACTTTTTCTGTAAACATATTTGCTAGATACAGTTCAGGTTTTCAAACCTTTGAATGTATTCCAGAGTCTAATTCCTGTGCTTTAAAGTGACTAAAATAATTTTTCTCTTTCTGTATTTATGGGTATTTTTGTTTTAACAGTTTTAGATAACTTTTGGTTTTTATTTGATTTTGTTTTATAGTCATATAGTACATTACACATGATTCCAAAGTCAAAATTTTAAAACAAGGTGCAGAGAATAGTAGTGTTTATTTCTGATCTCTTTTTTATTCAAACTCTCATGTGTAATATTTTCATTAGTTTGGCTGATCCATTTATCCATCTTTTTTTAGCTATATAAGCATATGTGTGTGAATCTATCTATCATCTATCTATCTATCGCTCTCTCTCCATCCATCCATCTATCCATCCATTTATCCATCCATCCATCCACCCATCCACCCATCCACCCATCCATCCATCCATCTATGTATCTTCAAACACCCCCTTTTTATTTGTAGAGAATTAGATTGTGTCCAGTCGTTTGCTATTACAAGTTTTTGCTCCTTTCCCCACACTTGTCTAGGTATCTAGCCAGGAGAGAATTCTACCAATCTGGCTTTCCACCCTAAACTGCACTCTTGATCTCTCCCAGGGATTCAGATTCTTCTACAAACACTGAAAAGGAATTGTTTTAACTCTCCAGGCTTACTATTGCTCCATGGTTTGACAGGGGAATAAAAGTTAGATAGTCCATGCCTTTCTCTTTGGTTGCACCAAGCACTTCAACCATTGAAATCTAACAGATCCCTCAGGGAAGTGGTGAAATGTCACAGCTGATTGGAACCTAACCGATGCCAGAATGTGGCTACAAGACTGATCAGTCAACCGTACCCTCAAATTCTTTTTTTTTTTTTTTTTTTTTTTTTTTTTTTTGAGACGGAGTCTCGCACTATCTCCCAGGCTGGAGTGCAGTGGCGCAATCTCGGCTCACTGGAAGCTCCGCCTCCCGGGTTCACGCCATTCTCCTGCCTCAGCCTCCCGAGCAGCTGGGACTACAGGCGCCCGCCACCATGCCCGGCTAATTTTTTGTATTTTTAGTAGAGACAGGGTCTCACCGTGTTAGCCAGGATGGTCTCGATCTCCTGACCTTGTGATCCGCCCGCCTTGGCCTCCCAAAGTGCTGGGATTACAGGCATGAGCCACCGCGCCCGGCAACCCTCAAATTCTTAAAAGTGATTATTAAAGCTGTCATTATTTTCTGTGTTGACATTGTGCATCCTCTTATATAATGACTTCAATATTTTCTTTTGGTGCTAAAATCCTTATGCCGTTCCTAATACTAAACAAGCATCCTTTACCCATATCTCAACTACCATATTTAATATTCACTAAAATTTTCAAATATACTCATATTTATTTGTAGGCACTCTATAATACTCAGCCAAAAGCGTCCTGTTTACTTGTTTTCCTGTATATTTTAGCTCTATCTTATAATGTTTTTCAAACATTTAGAAAGAATAGAGCATTATATAATTAAATCAATAACCCATCAGTCCAACAATTATCATTATTCCACACATTTAGTTCTTCTATCCCTCATATTTTTCCAGAGTATTTAAAAACAAATTGCAGATATCATAGAATTTCAACTGCAAATACTTGAGTATATGTTTGCAATATATCTGGATATTTATAAAATATAGCCACAATGTCATTATCACATCCAATAGAATTACAAATAATTTATTGATTTATCTAAAACTCACCATATTTTCCCTAGTTGCATATCTCAACAGGACATACATATGTGCTTTGATTGACATGTCTCTTGTTTTAAATTTGTAACATCCTTTCTTCCATTTTTTGTGCCGTTTGAGTTGAAACTGAGATATGTTTCCAACAGTGCCTCTGATTTGTAATTTCATTGATTGTATCATCATGAAGTCATTTAGATCCCCTTTCCCTTGTATTTCCTGTAAAGTGCTATTAAAAACTTGTTTATATTTAGGTACACAATTTTAGCAAAAATAACTTTACATGGATACTGTTTTTTTCTTATTGCTTCACATTAGGAAGTGTTTAATGTTTGAATATTCGCTTTTAGTGATTCTAAGATTTATCTGGGTTCAGGTGTAGTCAGCCTGACTTTTTGAAGAGTTTGCCATGAATTTGTCTCCCAGTGGTTTAGCAGTCATTAGGAGTACAGCCCATCATTTATTTTGGTATTTTAAAATGATAATCTTCTAATGCTATCATTTCTTCCAACTCCATTAACTGAGGCTCTTCTATGTGGGGAAAAAAAAAAACTTTCTCACACTATTTGATTTGTCTGAAATATAATCCACAAAGGAAGGATAGACTAGATATTTGAGCTTTTTCCTTTCTAACAATGAGTTCCAACCATAGCAACCTCTAGAAATGTCCATGTATGAGCATATAGATTTTTGATATTTTATTTCCATCCATTAACAAGACATATTAGGCTAAACTTGTGCATTTTTTTACCGCAGATTTGTAATCTGACTTTTTCCAAAGAATCCTGGTTTGTTTTCGTAGAAAACTGTATTTAAAGAACACAATATAAAGTTAGTTTCTTTTTGCATGTTGTAATATTAGCCTTTATATTTTTTTCTGTAAATATAGTGGGTATGTAAAAATAATAAAAGTAAGTAGAGACGTGTTGTGTGTGTATCTATACATACATATATATGTGTGTGCATGTGTATCTATACATACATATGTGTTCATGTATATATAATTTAAGAAATAGAATGCATTGCTAAATTATTTTACAAATATTGCAGTACTGCAACATTTACTCCAAATCTTATAAAAATAAACTTTAGATAGTCAACAAGGAAAGAGCATGATATTTATTCTAGTTCATTTATAACACAGAAGCTCAAGGCTTGCATTTTTCTAGATGCAGTTTCTCCAACCGTTGCTTATGTTACACAGCTGTCTCTAGAATTTTTCATTTTCTATAGTACACCACGAAGCCAGATATTTCCAACAGTTCCATTGTTCATGGCTCCCTAGTGAATACACAAACATCCTGCAAATGGCGTGACCTAGCATATTGCAAACACATGGATGAAACAACTACTAAAAAGCTGCTATATCCTGACTCATTGTTTATTAATAATTTATTGCCAGTAACAAATGTGGGTCACCACGTGCATGAAAAATAATAAAATTAAAGAGAGATACATCATTTAAATAAAATGTGTGGGAGAAGAGGAAACATTTCTGAATATGAATAAAATTGGTGGTGCTCTACAGTTTAATATTTGAAGGAAATTAGCAACTTTTCAGGGATTGCTTTCCACTATCTTCTTTTATTTATTCTTTAAATGTGAGTATATATGGGAATATCTGGAGGATTACATCTTCTAAAGTTAAGTTTTAAATTAAACATAAGATTAGTCACATATTATATTAGTTAATATGTTTATTTCCAGTAATAGTTTGCAGGATTTAAGGGATTAAGGTATCTGAGATTGAGAAGTGGATGTGGGAGAGATATCTAGGGAGTTACCTTGGATAACAATAAAAAGGGAAATGTTATCACAAAAAGTAGCAGTCATAGGGCATATTTATTCATCACTTAATATGTGTTAGATTTACTACTGAGAAGTTCTTGTGTGTTAATTAACTCATATTTTTCTCATGAAATCCTCTGGGATGGGTATGACTTTATTCATATTTTATAGGTAAGCAAAGTGAGTTGCAGAGAATTTGAGCATTTTGCACAACTAGCAAGGAACAGAGATAGGATTCAAATTCAGACATTCAAATTCCACAACGTGTATTCATTATGCTACAGCTATCTTCAAGGACACCCACGACGAATTATTGGAATATGGCAGCGGAGTTCTTAAGATATCAAAAGACACAATCTATTTCATGAGTGTTTGTTAGACAAACTTACTATAGAGAACCAGAATATAACTGAAGAGATGTAGGTCCTATTAGTCAAGGAACTCAGCTAATGTCTAGGAATCTCATAAGGCAACACAGAAACTGGTTTTAAAAGTTAAAATCTATCTTTTTCAGGATTTATGTGGTAGGCAATGCCTGAATTTATTAACTCACTGTATATTCACTGAGTATCTTCTGTATGTTAGGCACCTGGGGCTGGGATGGTGAATAAGACAGACATTGCTCATGTCCTCATAAGACTTGTAATCTAGTAGATCTTTCCAAAAGAGGAAATCAACTGATATATGTACTGGTTTTTAAATTATTCAACAAATATTTATTGAGCCTCTACCTGCACCAGGCAATAATATAGGTACTTAAGCCTGAGAAAAAAATAATAAAATAAGATCAAAACATGCTTGGCAACATTTATGGGCCATGCATATGAGCACATGTGAGAAGGTAAGTAGATAGGTAGATAAGTTGATAAATAGATGAACAAGAAAATAAATCAAAAGGCTCTTCTTTATTTTCTCTGTCTTCTCTGGCACAAATCCAATGTATTTCACAATGTTACTTTTGCCTAAACATGACCTTTGCATTCAAATAATTTTTCATATGTCACATTGATACCTAATTAAAGTCTCCATATGTGCTCAAGTCTAGCTATTGTGAATGCAGTATTTTATTTTTTAAAAGCTTGCAGCTTGATTCCTGATTGTGTATTGTTAGCAGCCATTTTTTTCACTTATTTGGAAGCATTTGAAATAAAGTTTCCCATTAATTTTTCTCTCACTTTGATGTAAATGTCTTTTAAAATCCCTCTACTTTTTCATTGGAATTTTGCTTTATTCACAAGTTGCCTGGCATCCAAACTGACAGCATTACTTAACTAATGTTTCTGTCACTGCCAATTGTTCTCAGAAATGTTTGGATTTTACTTACTTAATGGTCTTTTTTTTCAATGTTATATAGTAGAGATATTTCAAATCTAACACAGTGTATGCAATTTTAAAAATTTTGAAATATGCAATATTGAATAGTATATATAAGTGGGCTTATGGAAAAAACAGAGTTGTGCAAACAAAATTTGTTTGAATCCAGAGCACCAACAAAAATATAGCTATCTTATTTAAAATATTAGTACAGCTTTAAAGACTACATTCTAATAAGTAAAGAGAAGTTATTGCAAATATAAAGTTTTGCCTTTTAAAAAGATGGTCATGGATAGATAAAAGATGGTGTGAAAAAGGCTTGAGCCTTCTGAGGTAAGATAAAGGTACAATGTAAATAACCAGAGAAAACTGTACAATAAGCACTTCAAAACATGAACACATGATCAAACTGAGCCAAGATAAAAAATCAGGTGTGAAGGGGCTTATGGACAGTACTGTATTCTTCTGTGGCCTAATGCATTTAATTCTTCTACTTTGCTTTCAACTGCTATTTCTTTATGACACACAGATTGATACATTAGAAAAAAATCCATATGGACCTACATGAATTCTGTATTTTACTGACATCACTCCCAATTCCCCAACTGCACACATTTTCATTCATCTTACAGAAACACATGTCATAGAAGAGCACAGTGAGTTCAGTTATCCATATGTATTAACCATATGGACAGTTTAATGCTTGGTTTCATCTTTTCCTGTAGCAGATTTTTACATGTTGAAGATTTTACACTCCTATGATGAAAATAAATAGGTGTAAGTACAACTTTTCATTTGTGACAAACTAATTTCCAATCTAGCATGTTCTTATAATAATGAGATGTATGATATTATCTTTGGGTAGTCATTGTGGGAGTATAATCTATGTGAATAGAATGTCTCTCTAGCCAGCCTAGTAATGAAAATCTTCCAGCGTGCACCTGCCATATCATGAATTGCTTTCTTTGTATTAAATAAACTTTTGTTGAATGGATGAATTACGGAATGGCATACAATAATGACTTACAAGCCCAAAACATATATATTTTTAATTATCATGTTCAAGGTGACTTTTTAATATCATTTTTTATAAAATAGATGGAATGAGAGTCTTAATTTTTAATCAACAGAAAAATATATTAAATTTTTATTAAAACACCAATATGAGTATGTTAAATTTCTTAATGGTGGAGTATTAATTGGCATAATTTGGTGAATTTGAAACCACAATAACTACCTGGCGAAATATATTTCTTCAAAAATGTTCAGAAGCACCACCTCATGAAAAGTACTGCACTCATGAACAAAGCGGATGGACCAGACAAGAACTACAAATAGAAGGAGGGGAGAAAGGTCAGAAAGCCAAAAATAATGTTTCATTTCCTTACTGACCTGTGAATGATGTAGAGGAAATTGAAACAAGAGGTAGGCTAATGGATACTATTTGACTTTGCAGTACCAATTTTCTGCCCACCTTTTGATAACAGTTAGTTATGAATATCAATGAACTCTCAATGAGCACAAACGAATGAGAATGTTAAAGCTGAAGAGAACATGGTTAGGAAGTGCAAATATTTTGTCTTAAAATATGGCAGGTCACGACTGTAATCCCAGTACTTTGGGAGGCTGAGGCGGGTGGATCATCTGAGGTCAGGAGTTTGAGACCAGCCTGGCCAACATGGTGAAACCCTATCTCAACTAAAAATACGAAAAATTAGCTGGGTGTGGTGGCACACACCTGCAATCCCAGCTACTCTGGAAGCTGAGGCAGGAGAATAGCTTGAACCCGGGAGATGGAGATTGCAGTGAGCAGAGATCGCGCCATTGCACTCCAGCCTGGGTGACGAGAGTGAAACTCTGTCTCAAAAAAATAAATAAATAAATAAATAAATAAATAAATAAATAAATAAATAAATAAATAATGGCAGGTATATTAAATGAGTATGCTAGATTTTTGTTTTGTTTTGTTTTGCTTTTGTCATAAGCCTAGGCAATCTAAACTTAAATATTACTAATACCCTAAAAACAAAGAACCAAGGCTGCAAGCATTTGTTTCTTTGTTTTTTGTTTTGTTTTGTTTTGTTTTGTTTTTTTCAGATGGAGTCTCACTCTGTCAGCCAAGCTGGAATACAGTGGTGCAAACTCAGCTCACTGCAACCTCCGCCTCCCGGGTTCAAGCGATTCTCCAGCCTCAGCCTCCCGAGTAGCTGGGACTACTGGCACGGGCCACCACGCCAGCCTATTTTTTTTGTATTTTTAGTAGAGATAGGGTTTCACTATGTTGGCCAGTCTTGTCTCGAACTCCTGACTCGTGATCCACCTGCCTTGGCATCCCAAAGTGCTGGGATTACAGGCGTAAGCCACTGCGCCCGGCCCAAGCATTTGTTAAATGGTATATCCTAGATCATTATCACTAAACATGTATATAACAACTTACTTCTTGAGAAATGATTTTAAAAATAAAAATCATTGTAATGAATGCTAAGGAAGATAAGGCATATTAATTTTTCTTCTCAATTTTTAGGGATATCTTTTCATTTACTGATATTCCCTTTCAATAACATTAACTAGAAGAAAAATTTATGCAAAAATATATTATTGAATTATATTACATAATAAATTTAATTAAAAGGAGGTAGGAAATATTAAACTTGTTTTTAGTCCTTTTATAAAACCAAGATAATTCTTGTGGTCATTGAACTAGCTCCATCTACATCCATCTATCTATTATCTATCTATCCATACTCCACTTCAATAATTATTTAGGATCTTTCAAAATATAAAAATACAACTTCCACATAAAATAAACAAACACATAGAAATTATATGTATATCCCAACAATTACTCTGATAAAATCAGATGTATCTTTCCAAATGATAAGATTAAGAAAAATTGAATTGTACTAATCCCTGAATGAATGTGGCATACATGTCTAAGGTGGTTCAAAACCTTCTGCTGGGATACAGAAAGAACATACTGGCTATTCTTATATCATCTCTTATAACATGCCAGTTCAACTGCTTTATAATTTTTTAATTGTCTGTATTTTATTATTGAGCTGTATAAATTATTTATACATTCTGGATTTGAATTGTCCAATATATGCATAGATATTATTTTCTATTGTTGTCTGTCCTTCGTGTCCCTTTTCTTAAGTGTATCTTTGATTAACACATGCATTTAATTTTTATGAAGTCTAATCAATCTTTTTTATTGCTAATTCTTATTGTATCCTTTGTAATACATCTTTACCTATCCAAGAAAACAAAATGATTTTATAATGTTTTCTTCTTTGGTTTTCAGTTCAGTGTTTAATTCCACTATATATTCAGAATAATTTTTATAAGGTAAGGTTTGACATTCATTGAGGTTGCATATGGATAGACAATAGGTATGGCACCATTTATTGAATGGATTTTTTCCCCAGTCCAGAATGTAAGACCAACACCTTTATTCTTGTGTTTTAAGATTGTTTAATTAGTACACTTCCTTTGATTTCACATATAAATATAATCACCCTTTCAACTTCCAGTAGAAAAGCCTTGCTGAAATTCTGGGTAGCATAAACTGAATCTATATTTCAATTTGGGGAGATTTTACATGTTAAAAATATAGAACTTTTAAAATCCATGACCGTGGTGGGCCTCTCAATCTGTTTATGTCTTCTTTATTTTCTCTCAGCAAACTTTCGCAGTGTTTAGTGTATAGGTAACATCTCTCGGATTTTTTTTTTTTTTTGAGACGGAGTTTCGCTCTTGTTGCTCAGGCTGGAGTGCAATGGCATGATCTCAGCTCACTGCAACCTCCGCCTCCTGGGTTCAAGCGATTCTCCTACCTCAGCCTCCTGAGTAGCTGGGATTGCAGGCATGTGCCACCATACCTGGCTAATTTTGTAGTTTTAGTAGAGACGGGGTTTCTCCATGTTGGTCAGGCTGGTCTCAAACTCCCGACCTCAGGTGATCCACCTGCCTCGGCCTCTCAAAGTGCTGGGATTACAGGCGTGAGCCACTGCTCCCAGCCAAGGGATCTCTCTGAATATTTAAAACTTCAGAAGTGGGTTGTAAACCATTCTGCCAGCTGCCAAAGGAGAAAGGTTTTTATGGTCCAGCTACAGTATCACAGAATAGGACAAAGAAGTGTGGATTTGGAGCTGAGAGGCAATAAATCAATAACCTGGCACATGCCACTACTATTTAACTTTGTAATAGAGGTCCTACACAGTGTAATGAAGCAAGACAAAAAAAATAAAATGTGTAAATATTGAAAATCATGGAGCCAAATTTTATTTACTGATAATTGACCTGTTTCCTGAGATATCTACCAAGAAAAAAACCTACCTAATAAGTGAATTTGACAAGTTTTCAGGATACAATGGTATTAAATTGAATTTTATTTGCATATACAAGCACCAAATAATTGGTCATATTAAACTAAAATAATTCCACTTTAAATGGCATGCACAACTGCTAAGTAAAGACACCTGAACTAGCTAACTAGTAAATAAGACCATGTGGAGAAGAAATCAGTCATCCACATTCTGTATAAACTTCCTACATGTGAGACCAACAGGTGAATTGCTCAGACAACACTCCCTTTTCCTCAACTCCAACTGTGGAGCCATAGAATTATGAGCAAAGAATATGGTTTTTATTTTAAACAACTAAATTTTGGGGTGGATCACTACACATCAATAGATAAGTGATAGAATTCTTTCAGCTGTTTTGTGCAAATTCTGATTTCTTCTTTGACTCTTGGGTTGATTAGGAGTGCATTGTTTACAAATAATTGGGAGATTTCTAACTTTCTTCCTTTGTAGTCAGGGTTTGTACTATGAATGATTTCTGTTGTTGAAATTTATTCAGACTTGTCTTATGGCTTGAAATATATATTTTTAGTGAATTTTTTTTCTACTTAAAAAGGATATTTATTTTGTAGTTCTTTGGGATAGAGACCTTGTATTTTAATTAGTTCAAGTTTATTGTGTTGTTAAATTATTTTGTATCTTTACTAATTTTGGTCTACCTATTGTAGAGGTGGTATTTACATCTCTGATGATAATTTTACAAGTTTATCGATCATCTCTTTATTTCAATAATATTTTGCTTTATATATTTTAAGAACTGTTATTCCATATAAATATGGAAGTATCAGCCCTGTACTTTTTAGGTAAATGTATAATAGAAAATATTAAGTAAGTTTAATTATTGAGATATAAATACTTCAGTCTGTGCTGTTCTCTCTTTTTCCTGTTCAACTACTAAAATCAAAATAATAATACAATAGTCACTATAAACTGCCAGTCTTCTTTGTGTCACATATTTTATACATTGTTTATAATTATTACATTTAAAAATAGATATTACCCTTCCTATTTCATAACGTAGTCAATTTATGACATGTAATATAAGGTAAACAATGTTACAGGGATTTGAGTGAGCAAAAATTTGTCTGAATCCAGAAGTCTTCTCTCAATGTCCATGACTACAATTAGTTCCATTGTATTTTCCAATGCATGTTTAAATATCTTACATTCAGCCATCATTGACTATTGTTGAAGTTGATTTTTAATCATTTGTTGCCTGAACTTCAGAAATCCTCTTAAGATTAATCATCACCGATTGTCCAGACTGAGCTCTAAATTGCCCATGCCTATCATAGCATGTTTTCCAATTCATCACTTCTTGAACTGTCACAAACTATAGTATTACGAAAAGTGTTGTATTTCATTGTAAATGTGTGAGCTAATATGTTGGGTTTTAATATGTCACTAGTTTTAGCTTGGGGACCAGTTTGGCACACATGTAAAATTTTACACAGATGTGTTAATTCCTCTAAACATTTTAATTTATTCCTAAAGCTTGTATTTGTCCACAATAGATTTTCTCTTAAAACAATGTTTTTAGTATCATGCCAAGTGTTAGCTTTAAGGACAGCCAGAAAAAGAGAAAATAATTATGTAAACTAAATTTCAACAGCATTTCCCTGCCTTTTGAGATCAGTAAGATTGATTCAATGTATTTTCCACTGAGTTCAACCTGTATCTCAAGAATTTTCAAATTTCATCAGAATTTATGATCACTTTCAGCTCTTAAGTCCTGCTTAGTGTGAATCAGTTTAGGGATAATCTAAATGTCCAATATGTATTATTATGTTTTGCATTATATTGTTTTAGATGTGGATCACTATACTTTTTCTTAGTTATGCCAAACTACTTATAGAAACTCTTATATGTGTAAAGGACTACTGAGTTATAGGGGATGTAGAGATTTACACTGCCAAAAGGCTCAAGATGTAATATTCTATGTTAGATATTGATGTTCCTAAAGTTCCCTCTCTCCTTCCAAATCTTGGGCTTCAGATTCCGATCATGTAGGTTAAATCATCTTTTGTTGATTACTCATGTTTTTAGTTTCTCTCTCCAAATTCCTATTGATTTCCAAATACAAAGCAGTTTAGTTGTGTCTCTTGACATGGGCAGAGTTTCTCTTGCCCTTAAAGTCTTACTTTCCACTTCTAAATACCTTCCAAGATGTTTTCCTCCACAAACACAATATCTTCCTTAAAAGATAGACCCTGCATCAGTTGTTAAGCTAACACATCTTTCTCCTCACTACAAATGTATCACTATTGAATTTCTCTCCACAAGTGTGAAGATGGCTGGAGTAGAAATTCTGGCATTGCTTCTCATCACCAGAAGGAAAAATTCAGGTGAGCTCTGTCAAAATGGTGGGTTGGCTATGGCACTCATTTCTCAATCATAAGATTTTAGGCCAGGACAGTCTACTCTATTAACATAGTCTGAAGAAGTGATCTTTCCTTTTACATTTATAGAGTCTTTTCTTACTAGTGATAATAGACATGCTGTAAAGTACCTCATATCCTAAAACCTTTAGTTTTAAGTATACAGCGAACAACTTAATTTAACTTCTATACAGCATAGACAAAATATATGATAAGTGACTATGTCATTTACATTTAATGGATTGGGAAATGTTATTTTATTTAAGGAAAGTTCTTCTGTAAAAATGTGTCTTCTTTGACATTGTTATGTGTCAGCTAACTCACATTTTCAAAGCTGGAGTGCAGATATTTCTGAGTATATATATATATATGTGTATATATATGTGTGTATATATACGTATATATATGTATATATACGTATATATGTGTATATATACGTATATATGTGTATATATACGTATATATGTGTATATATACGTATATATGTGTATATATACGTATATATGTGTATATATATACGTATATATGTATATATACGTATATATGTGTATATATATACGTATATATGTATATATACGTATATATATGTGTGTGTATATATATATATTTGGTTACACATAATACTATTCCTGTCATTTTCTTCAAGAGTTCAAAACTATTGTGGAGTATTTTTATTTTATTGTGTGTACTTCTAAATTCTCACTAGAGTTTTACTCTCATGACAGTCATAAATTGCTGGTTCTTTTTCATGGGAGAGGGTAAGATTTCCACAGGGAATAGCTGCCTTAAAGAAGTATTTTACATATTAAGAGTTCTTAAAGTAATTTTAATTAGTCCCTCCAAAATTATTTTTCCTTGAAGCTGTTTGTTTAGAAAAATTTGGTTCTTGCTTTTTAGCATTAAGCTGTATAGATTTTTAAAATAAACCAAACACATAAACTTTTTTCTCTATCTTTCTTTCTTTGTCCCTTTTATTATGAAATGCATTCTGTGCCTATCCAGCTGTGCTGGCTGTGTGTCAGTAATGTGAGTCACTGACCAATGTTCTCCCACACATGAACAGGAACTAACACAAAGAAAAATAAAAGATACAGCTCTTGGATTTTGCTTACAGCCAAACATTAGGGAAAGGAGGTAATTGTGTTATTTCAATGAAGTTTGATTAGACATATTTCTTTGTATTTGTGAATGACATTGCTATTTTCAGTTAGTTGTAGGAGATTAATGTGATGGAACTGCAATTAGAAGAGAAATGACACTGAGAGATCTTTTAATTATATTTTAGCTAGGAAATCCCTTGACAATATCAGCAAACATTTTTACTAAAATGACATGAAAACAAAACATCAGTGATAAAGTGAAGACTGAATATGGGTTTCTTAAATCCATAAATTCTTACAATAGCCGACCTAATAAATATTCGTCTACTTCTTTCTGTTTTTTCATGTCTTTCTATGTGTTGATTAGAATTACAGGATCTGAGAGCTGGGTATAATCTTATAAGTTATATGGTGAAATATTTTAGAAATAATAGTCCTAATTTTTACAGATAAGAATACCAAGTTCCAATAATCTTAAAAGATTTGGCCATTCCCATACAGATAAATATTGTCAGAATCATCAAGTCTAGCATTTAGTCTCATGATCTTGTCTACTGTGATTTCCAGTACACTCCCTTTATTACTCCCCTCTCTTTTGCTGTAATTATTAGCAAAGATCCTTAACTCAGTGAATTGATGGTGGCTGGCGTTTAGCTATTCCTAACTTGTCTGATAATTAAATAAAATTGTCATTTGACTCATGTCACCAATTTGCACTTGCATTGGAGGTAGATTAAACACCTGGGTTAAACCATATTTATGGTACACAGAAGGTTCTAATTAAAGAGCAATTGCACTTCTCACTGCCAAACAAAAGAGAAACAGATTCACAAACATATTCTCATGCCTCGTAGATGAGAAAGCTTTAATAAAGTCAGTTGGCTGAAACAGTACTTTTGTTTCCCCTGTCTCCCTAAGGAGGAGAAGGGTGAGAAAGAGTCCAAGGGCAAAAGTGAATCTGAGGATGAAGATATGCCACGTTAGCTCTTTGGAAACACACACACACACACACACACACACATTCATTTCAGATCTCAGAAAAGCAACACAGACATAAATCCTATTCTAAAAGTTCAAAAAATTTACCTATCTCTGCAAGAGTCTCCAAACTATAAGTTGAATTTTTCTACTTACTTTAATTACTTTATGAACATTTTTGAAAAAAAGATAGTAATTTTGCTTCTCATAATGTGAGCAATGCTGCCTAGAGGCAGAGCTACTTCTGTGTGAAGAAAGGGGACATAGGTCCGTTATGACGTCTATGTAGTTATGTAAAATCACATATATCCATGATGCATACTTTGTATGTCAATGAGTTTAAATCAATGTAGAATTCTCCTTTGAGAAGAACCTAGCATTCCTGCAAGTGACAGGTATTAAAAACCTTGTTACAAACCCACTTTTTCTGAACATGTTATGAACAGTGAAATGCCTGCTCTTTATCTTGTGAGCTCAGACGATTAAGTATCGTATAAATATTGTTGACCACGTGACTACTGTTATTTTTGACTCTGACTCTGTAGAGCTCAAATGCTAACTCCATTTACTGAAGCCTCTTCTGGTAAGGGTTCTGGAAAATTTCAAGAGCATGCAATAAAAAACAGTGATGAACTTCCTTAGGAATGCAGTTTTACAAAGTTGTCATGAAAAAAGAAAACCTACTGGAGCTGGGAAAATGTTGTAAAGTGTGGTATAAATGTCTATCCTACGGAAGAAAAGGACAATGAACATTGCAGCCTTCCTTTTTGTTCTCTTTAATCTCAATTTAAAACCATGTGTTAGGAAACAGAGAGTGGAGAAATGGGAAAAAAAAAAAGAGAAATGGACAGAGACAAAAAGAAAAACTGGAGGGATCTGGGGAAACGGGGAAAGAGGAGAAAATTCTGGAGCTAAAAGTAGCTTTTTGTGATTGCAGCTTTTTGACCTGGGGTATTGCCTTTTGATTTGGAGATCACTTTGGCTTGGGAACTCTGACAAATGAAGTTGGTACACAGAGATGGAAGCAAATGGATCACTGCCAAGGATTTATTTTCAACTCTGGGCTCAAAGACAAAAAGCTAGGAGCCTGTAGATATGTTCATATATTTGTTAGCCTAGTTATTAATGACAAGGGCGCTCAAAGCTCTCAGTATAAAGTTTGGGTTTGAGTTTCCCCTGTTTCAACTATAATTAACTAACTCCTCTCACTCAGACCAATATGAAGTTTGGGTTTGCGTTTCCCTTGTGTCATGTGTAA
The DNA here is from genome assembly GCF_000001405.40 of Homo sapiens. Lineage (NCBI taxonomy): Eukaryota > Metazoa > Chordata > Mammalia > Primates > Hominidae > Homo > Homo sapiens. Next base: position 188,786,493 of record NC_000002.12, on the reverse strand, counting down.
TTAACTCCTCCCAGTCGGGCCAGTCCTTCACTTCCAAGTGACTCACTTTTATTTCAGATGATTTCCTGGCTACCATTCTTTCCCAGAGAAGATTATCATTTCTTAGAAATTCTGAGTAGAGAAATAGAGATTATGCAAACACAGAAATGCAAATTCATGTCAAAAGAGGAGGGAAAAATGTAAATTAAAAAATCACAAAGCATTGTCTGTATATTCTTTCCATCTTATGTCGTGACAAAATTTACTTCTGGTGAATGTTGTTCTTGTATTTAGGGGAGTTAGTAGGCTTTTCAGTTACAGAAAGTGAAGCATCTACAGGGAAAAGTTAAGAAAATACACTAATTCCCTGGATAGTGAAGTAAAAGGTATTAACCTTGGAGAGAGAATGTTTTGGTTTTGTTTGATTTATTCCACAAATTACTGTTTAGTGGGGTGGGGAGTAGGGATGGCGAGTAGTGGGCGTTGTTCAGTTCTGAGTGACCAGGCCCCAGAGCCACCAGAGGAAGCTTATACCTAAGGAGAAGGACAGGCACAAAAGAGCTCTCTTTTATGGGCATGACCAGAAAACTTAAGAAACATGATACCTATACCCAGCTTTAGATTATTTCATGTCCTATGTTGTGATTCTCCTCCATCATCTCCAAAGGCTTCAGTGCCATCAGACACACACGATAGCTGTGTGTTAATAGAGCCTTAGGGACGGTTTACGTTCCAACTTGGGACCAAGTGGTAAAGAGAGAGGACAACACCCGGCATGAGCAAATGAGCAATGAGGCAGTGGTGATTAAAGAAAAGCCAGAAGTTCAGAAGAGAGAGGAGTGAACAAGAGAAAAAATATGTATCTCCGTAATCCCTGGAATTACGGCCAAGGCTTCTGGACTTGATACAATTACATTAGATGAAAGCAAGAGGATTTGGAACATTTGGGTTACATAGGAAAATATATTATCCAATCATTGAAGGATGCTTGGAAATTAAAATTAGAACCCCTAAATATTTACAAATTGTGTTTCTAAGGTAATATACTTCGAGTAGTTTAAAAAGCAAATAATTGTAATCTGAGAAGACCGAGAAGATGGAAGAAGAAAGAAGGTGACCAAAGAGATAAGGTGGTCTCTGTTGCCCATCTGATGTGATCATGGTATGGATGATTATGTTGCTGGGGAAAAAATTAAGGGCTGGTTTATGTCAGTCTCTGAACTTCAGACATGTGTTTAGTCATCTAAAAGTGATGGCTCGGTACTGTCCTCAAGAGTATCATTAAAGGACTACACATATTTTAGACTTATTTCCCAAGTATTAAGCCCAGCATCCATTAGCTATTCTTCCTGACTCTTTCCCTCCTCCCACCCCCAACCCTCCAACAGGCCCCTCTATGTAACAAACCTGCACATCCTGCACATGCACTCCTGAACTTAAAATTGTAAATAAAAAATTCAAAAAATAAAAAAATTCATTTTCATGTCTTTTAACCGTTCATGGATATTGAATAACTGAGAAATATTAGAAATGTGAATCTTTGATCTTTAAGAAAAAAAGAATAGCTGGCAATCAAACTTTATAGAGCTCTATTTGTTATGAACAAAGAATCAAATACTATATTATCTTTATATATCTAGTTTAAGCGAGTAATTATGTTAGTATGATTTTATGTAGTTGATTTGAATAGGCTATAAGTTTCTAGAAGCTGGCTATATATTTATCCTCTTGGAACCCTAGAGTGTCTTCTGTTTAATAGGCTATTGAATAAGTTTATTAAGTTAAGAAATTCAAAGAGAAATCTTAACATTTGAATTACTTGAAATCTTAAAAATATTATGAAAACTTAGAAAGATATATTTGGATTATGACACTTTGATCAATTAATGTAAAATACATAAACTCTTAGGCACATATTTTCATTATGGGTCCTAAGAAGCATATACAACATTACTACCTCCAGTAACCTCTAGGATTGCTCTAGAGTGTCAAAGAATATTTTTGCATTTGACTTTTATTCTCTGATGATTTTTATTCCAACAACAGTGAAACTCTCCAGAATTAGAGCCTGAGTCAGTGAGGCCCCATTTTCCAGTTGGCTTTGTCAGTCAGAACCTGAAGGGGAGCACATCACATCTCCAAACCTGAAATAGATGTTTATTTTCGGGGAACCAATGTGCACATTAAAGCCAGTTAATAAAGTAGTTGTACACCAAGATATCTCATGGGGAAATGGGGCCTCTCTGTCTTCTTTTATTGTAGTTACTTTGCAGGTAGAATACTGCAGGTTCAGCTGAGTCAGACATTACATCATTACAAAAAAATTATCTTTTGATTTCTGTTAGAGATTTCCTTTAAAAAATAATTTCACTACTTAAGTCTATTTGCATCCACACATAATCCTTTTGATCTTAGCTAGAACTGAGGGTCATGAGAACTAGAATAAGCATGTGAGATGTTGACTTTTGGATTGAGAGTTGTGTTATGTGGCACAAAGATAACTATATTAGTCAGACCAAACTGAATTCCTTTATATGAGATGTTGAATTTTGTCCATAGTCATGCTGAAACATGACTATATTTAAAAACAGTACTCTATGCATTATACCTCATATTTCCAAAAATGATATTTAACATCCACAGATAAATTTACTGGTCAACATGAACTTTTCTATCTACTGATATTGTCATATAAATGACACCCAGCAAGGCCGGGTGCGGTGGCTCATGCCTGTAATCTCAGCACTTTGGGAGGCCGAGGCGGCGGGGGTATCACCTGAGATCGGGAGTTCAAGACCAGCCTGACCAACATGGAGAAACCCTGTCCCAACTAAAAATACAAAATTAGCCAGGTGTGGTGGTGCATGCCTGTAATCCCAGCTACTCGGGAGGCTGAGGCAGGAGAATCGCTTGAACCCAGCAGGTGGAGGTTGCAGTGAGCCGAAATCTCACCATTGCACTCCAGCCTGGGCAACAAGAGCGAAACTCAATCTATAAATAAATAAATAAATAAATAAATAAACAAATAAAATGACACCCAGATTAGTATGAGTGTCATTTAAAGGAGAGATGGGAACAGCAAAGAGTATATAAAATGTTACACACTGTCAAAATTGTAATTAAATAAAGCTTATGACTCCAGGATATTCTGACAGGAAAAAATACAACAGAATTTTCTAAGTAATCTGTTACAAATATCTAGAATCACTTTGATATTTGGTAGTTTATACTTTGTTAGCAAAAAAAACTCTTTTAAAAAAATCAGATATTACCGCATGGTGAGATTTACAAACTATTGGGAAGTAGAAAACAACAGTCATATTTTCCTTTTCTCATTCACCTCGGAATGAGTTGGGATCTAGTTTAAATTAAAGCCAATATAATTTGAAGTATAAAAAATAAAATTTTTAAACAATGATAAGTATTACTAAAAAGAAGGTTCTAATATAACCATGCCCTGGTAAAGAAAGTTTATTATGGAGCTAAGTATGGGTGTCATTTAAAGGAGAGATGGGAGCAGCAAAGAGTATCATGATTGGGAAAGGAAGGATGGAATTTCTAGTGGGGTTGAGTAACAAGAACTGTGACTGAGTCCTAATGAATTATATGCCTTTCTCTGAAATCTTTCTCCAAGGCATATTATTTCTTGCCTCAGTTGGAGTGGCAATAAGGGCATTTGGAAGATTCACTTTCATTATATCTCATGGTCTAATGTACTCCTTTCTTACTACTTCCAAAGCTTGGTCTCAAACTCAAATTTCTTCTATTTATGCTCTAGGCTAACACAAGAGGAAAGAAGACAAATATACTATAAATGTATCCAGGACATTATGTTGTACAGTCTGGCAATCATTTTACTTTCTGGAAAAAAATAAAACACAACATTTGGATATTTATAATGTAATAACTTTAAGGATTATTGTGGGACCAAGGCATAATTCCCTAACTTTTATGTTTTATTGTAAACTGAAAAGCTTTCTCTCTAGTTAAAAGAATTTTAGACAAGAGGGTGTAGGTAAAATGAGTGGGATTGGGAGTGGTACCAAATGGATGAGAGGGATCAAGGAGACCTATTTGTTGCTGAAATCTGGAAGAAAAACTGCTCTTTATTTTTTTTAAGCGGTTAAAGGTTGCTCAGCTAGCTCCATCAAAAGGTGTAGACCTTTTGCTCTCTCTCACTAACCTGAATCTCTCAGCTCCTGTTCCTCTTCCTCCAAATCTCTGAATTTCAAGAATCCATATTAGTTTCATGATGCCCTCTCATTTTTCCTTTTCCCTTGACCTTGGCCTAAGTCTTAGCCCTAGTTTACTCAGTGTTTTGTGCTACACAGTCATCAGGTGAGAGATTCTGTGGTGTCAGGGCTCTGGATCTAAGCTGTTATAGGAATGCAGGGATGTGGCAAAATAGTTGGAAACACAAAAGTTTAGAAATAGATGGAATTAAATTTCTTTTTACTCAGTCATGCTACACCAAAAACAAGTCAATATATATATCTGAGGACCCACTCCTTTTTTTTCTGGTAAATGAGATCATTTTTTAAAATACTTAGCACAGTCCCTGGCCCGTAATAAGCATTCATTAATTGTTGTGGGAGGTGATAAAGGAATAAAGCCATTGCTAATAGTATGTTATGATGATTATTATTTAGATACTATCCAATCCAATCCCTCACCCAGTGAAGCAATCTTTTCTACAATGTAACTGCCAGATAAATATCCTTTCTTTTTATAAAATACTTTTATAGTTAACAATTTACGGCAAAATTTGCTCTGCCCAACTTACACTCTTTGGTACTACCCACTGATATTACATAGAATTGATTTATGCATTCATTTATCTTAAAACACATATCCATCCACTCACCACTTACTTAGTGCTAAGTATGTCCTTGAGAATAAGCTGGATGCTGGGGATACAAAAAGTGAGACAGACATGATATCTAAAAGACGCTTATAAACCAGTAGTCAGAAAATAATATGTTGCAGATACTAAGAAAGGGCATATTGAAAGGAAAGAGTGGTTAACTATCACAAAGTAGCTCTTAGAGCAGGTAGTGATTAAGTTGCGTCTCCAAAGATAATAAGGATTACTTTAAGCATACTAAGTCAAGAATGAGGACTGGAACAGAATGATGAGGCAAATCCTGGAAGAGGATGCACTATGGTAAAGACATGAAGAACTGAGACAGCCAGGTGTGACAAGATAGTATGTCATGACTGGTGTCCAGGGTGAGAGGGAGCAGGGGGAATGGACATAGATAAGGCCAGGAGATTTAACAGGAGTCTTACCGGAAGGGGATGTGTATGTCATGCTGATAACATGGACACTTTTGCCTACAGTATTAGGAAACCATAGGCTGATTTTAAATTGGAGAACTTCATATGCAAATTTCAAAATGTCATTCCATGGTTGTGGAAAATGAATTAGAGGGGACACTAATAAGACAGGGAATCATTTTATGACTTTGAAAGTTGCTGCAGTGATTCTGGCGACATCTCGTTTCTTGAAATAATGACCTCTGTTCTCAACATGACTACAAATGCAACATAAACTTTCATTAATTTTTAAGCAATAAAATCACACTGTTCACTAATAGGAAAGCAAAAATCAACTCACACTCTAGCTATTTTTTCATATGATTAGCAAATTTAAAACTCACGATTCTGTCCAAATGGAATTATTTAGCAATCTAAATATCTAGATTTACATACAGCATTATCTTCTAACTTAAGTCTATTTTTCCTACCATCAAGAAATGTTTTTCTTAATTGTCCCTAAATTTGAAATTATTCAAATTTTTCAATGATTTAATCTATCACTTTAAATATTATTATTTTACTGTTAACTTAGCACTTATTAACCTTCTACAAAAATATAAACTGAGTGAGGGGAGCTGTTATTACCCAAATTCATGCAACTAAATGTGGCAGAAGAAAACCAGAAAACCAGACTGACCCAGTCTCTGCATGCCTTCAACTACGTGACAGCTTTTAGTCAGTGAGTATTCCCACACAGATGCATTATTTGACAAGAATACCTAATTTTCATACTGTCAGCCAAAAGGAAAGGAGTTTTGAAAACACATAAATGTAGACTATGAAGAATTAACATATCATGCATTTCCCTAAGGAAAACTGTCTTCATTTTTAAGTAAAATAAACTAATCTTTTTTCTCAGTGGAGAAATATTAAGTTCATTAGTAAAATTTGAATAGTCTAATTTGTCAGGCATAAAAGAAAATCTAAGCTAAAAAGCTAGGAAGGAAAAAGCATTAGACATGTAATACTGACCACATTCAGTCCAAGAAGCGGCCTATTACATTATCCGTTCTTGATAAAATATGTGTTCCAGACCTGATATATAGAGAGAACAAATGAACTTGGATTTGAATACCCAATGGCAAAAGATTCGCAAATTATATCTTAGAAGTAACACCTTTTATAGACTTCTAACTTTGTTAAGAACTATTAAAAAATGGACTGTGCCGGCAGGGCGCGGTGGCTCATGCCTGTAATCCCAGCACTTTGTGAGGCCAAGGCGGGCGGATCACAAGATCAGGAGATCGAGACCATCCTGGCTAACACGGTGAAATCCCGTCCCTACTAAAAATACAAAAAATTAGCTGGGCATGGTGGCAGGCGCCTGTAGTCCCAGCTACTCAGGAGGCTAAGGCAGGAGAATGGCCTGAACCCGGGAGGCGGAGCTTGCAGTGAGCGGAGATGGCGCCACTGCACTCTAGCCTGGGCAACAGAGCGAGACTCCATCTCAAAAAATAAATAAATAAATAAATAATAAAATAAATAATTAAAAAATGGACTGTGCCAACTTATTATGGGACTAAATTGATACAATGACTACTTCTCACTTGGGCCAGTAGCATCTAGCGGCTTTTCATTAAGACTATAATAGCAGTAGCAAAGGGAAGTTTATAAGATTGTTATTTTTCTCTTGTTTGCCCCATTTGTAACCATTCTCATTAACCACAGAGTGCCCATCCTCCCAACAAAACAAAGACTATCCTGTGTGACTTCCTAGGCCTTCAGACTGAATAGGAGAATATCTCCTAGCATGACAATTAATCTAATTCCCAGGGAGGCCAAGTGCATGCAGCAGAAATTCAAGGCACTAAATATGTTTTTGAAATAGTTTTATTTTTGGTACTTCAAAAAACTTGAAGTAGTTTTTGGCTGGGTGCGTTGAATTCCAGCACTTTGGGAGGCTAAGGCAGGCAGATCACCTGCGGTCAGGAGTTTGAGACCAGCCTGGCCAACATGGTGAAACCCCGTCTCTACTAAAAATATAAAAATTAGCCAGGTGTGGTGGTGGTGTCCACTTGCTTCTGTAAGCCCACCTACTCAGGAGGCTGAGACAGGAGAATCGCTTGAACCCAGGAGGTGGAGGTTGCAGTGAGCCAAGATCACACCACTACATTCCAACCTAGGTGACAGAACGAGACTCAGTCTCAAAAAAACAAAAAATAAAAAATAAATTGAAGTCGTTTTCATGAAAAAAATTAGAAAATTTTGCATTCTTTACAAGTTACTTCATCTTTTTTTATTTTAAACCAAAGCAGGGAAAACGATAATCTTTTCAGTGCTTAGGGCTTCGAAACCTCTTTCTGGCTCTGTTTCATTTTCTTATAATGCTATTCAAGTTATTAAAAAATGACTAGATGTGATTGTCATTTTAAATAACAATGGTAATATTAATTCTTGAATTATTTTCAAATTCTGGTAAAAATGAAACTCATAGGCAAAACTTAATATTCTTTACAATTTATAATTTTATGGTTGTCCATGAATAAAATGTGTTTTAAACTTGTCACTGCTTTTAATCTCTGTCAGATATTGATTGGCCTAATTGTAACTTAATAGAGGCACTTTTTCACCCTTGACTTAAACTTCTGTTCACTTTTGTAGGTAGATTGAGTTTAACGGGAAGATAAGCTTCTCCTTAGAAATAGCAGCATTCACCATCTAAGTACCTCTGTATTAGTGAAACCAAACTCCTAAGATGCATATTATTGACTCCAGGAGGAACATACCACAGAAATCATTTTCTGCAGCTGGTTCTATGTTCTTGTGGTGTTGATTATTAGAATAAAATCAGAATTTGGGAATAAAATCATATTGTCTTTGCAAATAATAGCATCTTACAAGTAAATCTGTACTCAGCCTAGAAAATTCATAAATAGATGTCAAAATAATGGTTTCTTATGCAACCACTTTCATAGAACAATGTGATTTACTAAAGGTTCAGGGAAATATCCAAGAGATGACTAGAACAGAACCTCAAATAATAACAACGTTTAAGGGACTGATTGCAGGATTATTCTACAGAATTTAACTATCTGTACTCAGGGTGGAACTGCAGTGAAGGAGTAGTGTGCCTGTTGTTATTTTTATAATTTAACCCTACATTCCCAGTTCATGTGTTATAATGCTCAAGAAGTAACATTATAAATTTAATTTCAACTTTAAAACACCTTTAAGGTTATTTTCCAAATCTCAAATAGATCCAACAAGAGTTTCAGAAAATTCTTTTAAAAAATGTATTTCCATTTTTATGCTGTTTTTTTTTTAAAAATAGTCATACGATATCATATAATTTATTTAGAAATGCTCCCATATGAATGAATCATTTGAATTAAGATTGCAGGGAAGAATAACTTTTTTGAGTAACAATGTTATCTCAAAATTTAGCTTTAAAACTATAAATCCAGTTTATAAAAACTATATAAAATATTTAATAGTCTAGGTTGGTAAATACATATGTAAACCTCAGAATCTAAAGCTGTTTGAGTCCTACTGCTACTTACGACTTTGGTATACTTAAGTAAATTCTCTGTACTTACATGCAATCAAAGTGATTTCTAGAAGGTTTGCTTAAAGAAATCAGGTGCATTTCTTGAGGTCACAGAATGAGTACTCAACAGGCAGAAGGTGGAGATGGAAACTAGTTGTGGATATTTGCTAGCAATGATGAACGAGATTGTAATCCCTGCAGTCAATTCTAAAGTACGTATATAAGGAACACATTTTCATTCAGGGACACTTAATTTGTAGATCAATAGCAGAGTTTTGAATTATTTTTTTTCCACATTAGTGCCAAGTATTTTTCATCCTGAAGTAAGGCACTGAACATTTGTTCTCCAACTTCAAAATCAACCACTGCTTTTTTTTTTGAGACGGAGTCTCGTTCTGTCGCCCAGGCTGCAGTGCAGTGGCGCCACCTCGGCTCACTGCAATCTCCGCCTCCCGGGTTCATGCCATTCTCCTGCCTCAGCCTCCAGAGTAGCTGGGACTACAGGCACCCGCCACCACGCCCAGCTAATTTTTTGTATTTTTAGTAGGGACGGGGTTTCACCGTGTTAGCCAAGATGGTCTCGATCTCCTGACCTCATGATCCACCTGCCTCCGCCTCCCAAAGTGCTGGGATTACAGGTGTGAGCCACCGCACCCGGCCCAACCACTGCTTTTATAAAGCTTAGAAAAAAATCCCCATGTTCTTTCTCCTGGTGTTCAAGATTTTCCCATGGTTTGTCCATAACATATTCTCAATCACATTAGTCCTAAAAATTAGAGTCAAGCATATGTATTATCTGATATTTATGTGTATTCTACAAGTTTCTATCTCTTTGCCTAACAATGTTTTCTCTGATTACTTTCTGAATTCCAAGAGCATTACGCACATCCAATTCCAAGAGCATTACACACTTGACATTCTTTTCAAGTGCACATAGAATATTTTTTCAGGATATGCCATATGATAGCCACAAAGCCAGCCTTAATACATAAAGAAAATATAAAAGGATTGAAATAATCCTTTTAAAGGATTATTTAAATTAAGGAAATGTGCTCTCTAGCATAAATGAAATAAAATTACAAATCAATAACAAAGAAATTAGGGAAATTTATGAATATGTGAAACATAACACAATCCTAAATAATTAGTAAGTCAAAAAAGAAATCACAGAGGACATTAGAAACTATCTTGAGATGAATGGAAATAAAGACACAACATGCTAACATTATGGAATGGAGTTAAAGCAGTGCTTGGAAAGAAATGCATAACTCTAAAGACTTACATTAAAAATATATTAGTTCAAATTACCACAAATTTAGTGTCTTAAATTAATGCGAATTTATTCTATTACAGTTCTATTGATTGGAAGTCTCACTGAGTTAAAATCATAGATAGTGTCAGCAGGGCTGTGTTCTTTTCTGGAGATTCTACAGGGAATATTTTTTTTTTAAACCTTTTCCAGGAACTAGAGACTACCACATTCCATGGTTCATGACTTTCTTTCTTCACCTGCAAAACCAGCAATGGTGGATCCAGTCCTCACACATCATTCAGACCTCCTCTTCTTTCTCTTGCAGTTTTAAGCACTCTTGTGATGACATTGGATTTTCCTGATAATCCAGGACAATCTTATTTTCAGGGAACTGATGAACAGTCTTAATTCTGTCTGCAACTTTAATTCTCTTTTCTAGGTAACCTAACACATGCACAAAGAGATTAGGGCATGGATATCTTTAGGAACAAAATAATGACTTCCCATGAGATGAACCTTGAAAACATGCTAATAGAAGCTGGTCACAGAGGGACACATATTGCATATTTCCATTTATTTAATGTATCCAGAATAGACAATTCTGTAGAAGCAGAAAGTATGTTAATGCTTGCCTAGGCTGTGGGGAGGAAGGATATTGGAGGAGAGACAGCTAACTGGTAAGTTTCTTTTGGGGGTAATGAAAATGTTCTTAAATTGATTGTAGTGATGGTTATACAAATCTGTGAATTTACTAGAAACTATCAAATTGTCCATTTTAAGTGATGGAATTGTATTGTGTACATATCAATAAAATATAATTTTATTGATTATATGCATATAATAAAATTGTGTATAAATGTAGAATTACATATAAACACATGTCTTATCTTCCATAGTTTAAAAAGGAGTGATGAATAATGAGTCCGGGTAGAGTGGCTCACACGTGTAATCCCCAGCATATTGGGAGGTCACTTGAGCCCAGGAGTTTCTGACAAGCCTGGTCAACATACTGAGACACTGTCTGTACAAAAAATTTAAAAATTAGCCATACGTGGTGTCACACACCTGTAGTCCCAGTCACTCAGGAGGCTGAGATGGAAGGATTACTTGAGTCTAGGAGGTCAAGAATGCAGCGAGGTATAATTGTGTCACTGAACTCCACCTGGGGTGAAAGAAATATCCTGTACCCCCGCAAAGAAGGAATGATGAGCAATTATAGTTTCATAGTCACTCAGTAAACTACAGATAACGTCTTCACTACAAAAACAGTAGCATCAGTACCTGTTTGTTGTTAAAAATAAACCTCAAGGACGGGCACGGTGGCTCACGCCTGTAATCCCAGCACTTTGGGAGGCCAAGGCGGGCAGATCAGGGGGTCAAGAGATCGAGACCATCCTGGCCAATATGGTGAAACCTCGTCTCTAGTAAAAATACAAAAAATTAGCCAGGCGTGGTGGCAGGCGCCTGTAATCCCAGCTGCTCGGGAGGCTGACGCAGGAGAATCGCTTGAACCCGGGAGGCGGAGGTTGCAGTGAGCTGAGATAGCGCCATTGTACCCTGGCCTGGTCAAAAAGATTGAAACTCCATCTCAAAAATAAAAATAAACATACATAAATAAATAAACTTCAAACATTGAGATAATTTTAAATTTACATGCAGTTGTAAGAAATAATACAGAGTGATCCCATGCACACAGAAGCAATACAGAACTGTAGTACGAGACATGGCCAAGATACTGGAAATAATGTGGTGAGGATACAGTGGAGATTTACTCATATTATTCATTTTTTGTCCTATTAATATTTATTGTATCTGGTCTGTAGTAATAGGCCCTGTTTCATTCCTGATATTAGTATTTTTTGTCTTCTTATTTCTTTGTTTTGCTGGGGGTTTGAATATTTTATTAATAGTTTTAAAGAACAGGCTTTTTGTTTCATTGCTTTTTCTCTTTCTTTTTTTTCAGTTTCACTGATATCTGCTTTTATCTTTATTATTTCTTTCCTTCTAGTTGTTTGGGGTTTATTTTACTTTTCTTTTTCTTGATTATTGAGCTTAGACTATTGATTTGCAACTTTTCTTATTTCCTACTATACTCTTTTTAATCTTACAAATTTTCCTTCCAGCACTGCTTTTGCTGTGTCTTAAAAATTTTGATGTATTTTCATTTTCATTCAGTTCACTGCATTTCTTGATTTCCCTTGAGATTTCCTTTTTGAGCCATGAGTTATTTCATAGTATGTGGCTTAGTTTTCAAATGTTAAAAGATTTTCCTGTTATCTTTCTATTGATGACTTCTTGCTTGATTGTATTGTATTTGGAAAGAACATTCCATATTATCTCAGTTTTTAAAAATTTGTTGACATTTGTTTCATGGCTAATGATATGACCTGCCTTGGTATATGTTCCATGAGTACTTGAAAAGAAGATGTACTTTGCTGTTGTTGAGGAAAGTGTTCAATAAATGTCAATTAGATTCTGTTTAGAAGTGGTGTTGTTAGGTTCTATATCCTTGCTGTTTTTCTGTCTAAATGTTCTATCAATTGTTAACAGAGGAGTGTTAAAATCTACAACTACAATAATTAAAGATTTATTTATTTATTTATTTATTTATCTTTCATGTGAATCATTTTTGCTTCATACATTTTGCAATTCTGTTGTATGGTACATAAACATTTAGGTTCACTATGTCTTTTTTGTAGATTGACTATTTTATCACCATACATTCATCCCTTTATATTCATCAAGGATTGGTTCCGGAACCCCCATGGGTACCAAAATACAAGTCCCTTATATACAATGGCATAGTACTTGCATATAATCTAGGCATAGTCTCTTCTATACTTTAAATCATCCCTAGACTATTTATAATACCTACTATAATACTAATGCTATGTAAATAGTTGTTATATTGTATTGTTTAGGGAATAATGACAAGAGACAAAAAAGTCTTACATGTTCAATAGAAATGCAATCATCCTTTCTTAAAATAAATATTTTCTATCTATGGTTGGTTGACTCCATGGATGCAGAACCCACTGATATGGAGGGGTAATTGTATAATGTCCTTCTATCTCTGGTAATTTACTTTGAATTCTACTCTATGTAATACAGGCATGCATCTCTTATTACATACTTTCTGAGAAATGAGTGATTAAGCAATATCATTATTGTGCAAACATTGTAGAGTGTATTTGTACAAACCTAAATAGTACAGCTGACTAAACACCTAGCCTATATTATACATCCTGTGGCTTTTAGGCTACAAACCTGAACAGCATGCTATGTGCTAAATAATGTAGGCAATTAGGACACAATGGTAAGTATTTGTGTATCTAAACATAGAAAAGGTACAGTAAGAATATAATTTTGTAATCTTATGAGACTACCATGGTATATGCAGTCTGTCATTGACTAAAATATCATTTCATGGCATGTTACTACATTAGTTTAGCCGCTTCTGCTTTCTTTCAATTAATGTCTGCAAGATATTTAATTTTTCCTAATTTCTTCAACCTCACTTTACCATTTTATTTGAAGTTAGTTTTTTGTAGGTAGCATATATTTGGATCATATTTTTAAATCTATCCTGTCAATCTTTGTTTTTTAACTGGTTCATTAAGACTTTACATTTATTATAACAATATTTAGCACTGTGTCTGCCATTTTATTTTTTTCTTCTGTTCTTTCTGATTTTCATCTCTGTTGTCTTTTTCTTACCTTTCTGTGTGCTACTTGAACATTTTGGAGAAACCTATTTTGATTTATACTGTTTTTGAGTGTGTCCTTTTGTATAGCTTTTCACTGACTACTCCAGTTATTACTATATATGTATTCACACACTCACACACACACACACCTCATATGCTACTGTTGTCATTTTACCAACTAGAGCAATATGAAGAAACCTTATATTCCTTTATGTTCCTTGACCCTTTCTCATTTATAATATAACTGTCTTAAATATTTTTCTCCACAGATATTTAGAACCAAATCAGACAGTGTTATTATCGTGGTGTTTATTGTCAAACATAATTTAGAAAACTCAAGAGAAAGAAAATCTATTGTATTTAGCCACATTTTGCTCTTTAAAGATAGAGTAGCTCCATAATCCTAGGAGTTTGTGCTACACTGCTATTATTTTTACCAAGACTCCATTGAGCATCCTTATCTACCACACACATATCTAGCACCACTGGATGTGCCATATCTACAACCTGAGTGGTTGAACAACATGTATGGCATCCTTGACTTGCTAGTTTCTTCTATTGACAACTTTAGGATTCACTTGATAAATATGGAAGAGAAGTGTCCCCAAATGTACCATATACTGCCTTCAACATCCTCATAAACTTTCAAGTGGCATGCCCCTTTCTTAGTAATAAGGGGTGAAAGAGGCAATAACTTGTATTTAACTTCACAAAGGAGCATTCTAGCATACTTCTGACACCCAAAATGTTGACTAATTTAGCAAATGACTGAATCCTCATGGAGTTTATATCCTACCATTTCCATGTTCATAAGTATCTGACTAGGGCATACAAAATACTTACCACATACTGCTTATCATGTTCAGTTAGCATGATATCATTCATGCAGCAGACAAGGATGATATCCCACAGAACATTAAAACAATCAATGACCCAACAGACTATATTGTGACAGACCACAGGGGTGTTACTTTAGTGATCAAGATAGTGAATGTGCACTACTTTCTTTCCCATAAATTAGCAAACTACTTTCAATTCCCTTTATTGATAAATTTGAAAAGAACAAGTGTGAAAGGCTGGGCTGATATGCCACAATAGTACTTCTTGCTCAGCTACTTCTATTAGAGCTACAATGCAGTTAACTTTAGAGCTTCCACAGTCTACCTGGTTTGGGTTAGGGCTAAATAGATCAATTGAGTGGACCTATCATGGAGACTCTATCCTGCTTTTTTAAGTCTTCAGTAGTATTAGTATTGTTCTAATTCAACATCTTTGTCAGGTCAGGGACTGTTGGGTTCACACTGGTCACAGTGGTGGTCATTGTGTGGTACAAGGGCTCCCATTTGGCCTTTCCTGGCTTAATGGCTCTTACTCCAGCCACCAAAGAACCAATTGAGTGTTCTACAAGACATCATTTAAATCCATCTCATGTAAACATTCTGGGATGGGGAAAATCACTACAATGTGGTTCAGAGACACATTGAACTCTCCTTACATCACCCGGTATTCACAAATCTGTAATTCAACCCAAGGGAAAGATGGGGTTCGGGATTCTCTGGTGTCAGTTACAGCTTAGAATCAGATACAACAGTTCTCAAAAATCTGGGAGTTATTTGTCTTCAGGTAACAATCATTCTGGAAAATGGCTGCAAGCCCCTCTGCGGAGTGTATTTGTAGTATTGGTTCAAGCATCAGAGGGATGTGACATCTCATTTAACCAACGGCTGCTGGATAAGAAAACAGGCAAACTGATTCTCATCACAGGGACTTTGCACATGACGTTTCCTCTGCATGTAGCATATCTGCTGTTACCCACAGTTTTCTTTCCTTAGTTAACTCCCAGTTGTATTTCATAGTTCACCTTCTTAGGGAAGACTTTCTGGGCCTTATAGGTCAGGTCAAACACTCTTACGTTACATTCTCACAGTCTCACACACCTAATTCTCCATAGTATCCAAGAATATATTTATTGCTATATATAAAAAAGCATATATTTGTATGATGCTAGTTTGATTAATGTTTGTCTTTCTCACTAGATTATAAACTCCATGAAACCATGATTTGTTTACCATGCCTGGGATTTAATTAGCGTCTAATTAATTTTCACGGAGCAGAATAATAAATGGCCTAATTCTGAAAACATAAAAATTTGCACATGACTAAATCTGGCAGAAACCATCACTGAGCATAGGCACCTCTTTAAAAATCACGTTAGCTCTTTCTTATTCCCCTTTCTCAACGTGGCTGTGGCAGGCTGACCAGCCAGCTTTGTTCCAGCCATGCATGTCCACTACAACACTTTCACCCACGTTTCATTTAGAAGAACACATTCTACCCAGCTTTGGACCTAAGAGTTACAAGAAATCTCAAAACTGTTCTTGTTAAGTTAAAAACAGATTCTTTAAATTCAAATGATGAGAAGTAAAAATTTTTTAAAAAATAACATATAACAAACTCCTTTCCCCCTGACACTATGCTTTAGGTAACCGAAATACAAGTGGAATAGGCTGAGTTGGATGTTTATTATAAAAGTCATAATCCTATATTATAAAAGTATAGTAATTATGTACTTCTGTATAAATGTGATGCCATTAGCAGTGAGAGTGTTGCCTGGTCACTGTCTAAGTTAATATCAAGAACTGAGAAATGAGTTAAATTCAGCATGGGTGAGAACATGAATTGTTTTGTCAGTCTGATTTTCCGACACATCTCCCATGTTTTCCTTTATCTTTGTTTTCCTCCTTTCATTTTTTTTTTAACTAGGATTTAGGCTAGATTGTAGCATTTTGGTGGATATTGTGCAGCATATCAAATGCATCTGAATAATTAGCAAGTCTAGGAAATTGCTTTTAAGTAAGGGACTATTTATAAGTGAGGGTGGGGAAATGAATACTACTTATAAATAATATGATCCTCTATTTAAAGTGTCAGGAAACTTATTTTGAACGCAGACCAATGGAACAAAACAGAGACCTCAGAAATAACACCACACATCTACAACCATCTGATCTTTGACAAACATGATAAAAACAAGCAATGGTTTATTTAATAAATGGTGCTGCGAAAACTGGCTAGCCATATGTAGAAAGCTGAAACTGGATCTCTTCCTTACACCTTGTACTAAAATTAATTCAAGATGGATTAAAGACTTAAATGTTAGACCTAAAACCATAAAAACCCTAGAAGAAAACCTAGGCAATACCATTCAGGACATAGGCGTGGGCAAGGACTTCATGTCTACAACACCAAAAGCAATGCAAACAAAAGCCAAAATTGACAAATGGGATCTAATTAAACTAAAGAGCTTCTGCACAGCAAAAGAAACTACCATCAACAAACTAACACAGGAACAGAAAACCAAACATCACATGTTTTCATGTATTAGGGGGAGCTGAACATACATGGACACAGGAAGGGGAACAACAGACACTGGTGCCTTTCTGGGGAGGGGCTGGGGAAGGCAGAATATCAGGATAAATAGCTAATGCATGCTGGGCTTAATACCTAGGTGATGGGTTGATAAGTGCAGCAAACCACCATGGCACATGTTTACCTATGTAACAAACCTGCACATGTAATCCAGAACTAAAATAAAATAAAGGGCCCTAGACCTTGTAAAAAAAAAAAAAAAAAGAAAGAAAGAAAGAAAGAAACTACCATCAGAGTGAACAGGCAACCTACAGAATGGGAGAAAATTTTTGCAATCCACTTATCAGACAAAGGGTTAATATCCAGAATCTACAAAGAACTCAAACAAATTTACAAGAAAAAAACAAACAACCCCATCAAAAAGTGGGCGAAGGATATGAACAGACACTTCCCAAAAGAAGACATTTATGCAGCCAACAGACACATGAAAAAATGCTCATTATCACTGGCCATCAGAGAAATGCAAATCAAAACCACAATGAGATACCATCTCACACCAGTTAGAACGGTGATCATTAAAAAGTCAGGAAACAGGTGCTGGAGAGGATGTGGAGAAGTAGGAACAGTTTTACACTGTTGGTGGGACTGTAAACTAGTTCAACTATTGTGGAAGTCAGTGTGGCGATTCCTCAAGGATCTAGAACTAGAAATACCATTTGACCCAGCCATCCCATTACTGGGTATATACCCAGAGGATTATAAATCATGCTGCTATAAAGGCACATGCACATGTATGTTTATTGCAGCACTATTCACAATAGCAAAGACTTGGAACCAACCCAAATGTCCATCAATGACAGACTGGATTAAGAAAATGTGGCACATATACACCATGGAATACTATGCAGCTGTAAGAAATGATGAGTTCATGTCTTTTGTAGGGACATGGATGAAGCTGGAAACCATCATTCTGAGCAAACTATCACAAGGACAAAAAATCAAACACTGCATGCTCTCACTCACAGGTGGGAATTGAAGAATGAGAACACTTGGACACGGGAAGGGGAACATCACACACCGGGGCCTGTCATGGGGTGGGGAAGGGGGAGGGATAGCATTAGGAGATATATCTAATGTAAACGACGAGTTAATGGGTGCAGCACAGCAACATGGCACATGTATACATATGTAAGAAACCCTCACATTGTGCACATGTACCCTAGAACTTAAGGTATAATTTAAAAAAAATTTAAAAAAAGAAAAAGATCTCTCTTTGTTGTATAATTATGAGAAGTGATTTTCCCGTTCTTAAAAACGGGAGACCAAACCAGCAGTCTTGCAGAGCTGTGAAGAGATGTATGCTCCAGTGGGTAGATTTAACTTCATATCAAATTGTGTCATCTATGTGTTTGTGTCTACTTATGTGTTTTAATCTGGAAAGGCCTTTCTTGAGAATTAAATCCACATTTTGCTGTTTTAACTCATTTTAAAATATTGTTAAACAACATTGAATATGCTCATATCAAGGATATTTTTCACATAAGGTATGGTGACTATTTTCCACAATTGTTTTATATTTTAAATTTCACAAATTACCATCATGAACTTTCTATCATAACTTTGGCATTCAGCATTTTTTTGTTTGCCAAAATGCAGAATTTACATGGGGGAAAAGTAAGTGAGAGGTGGCCACCACACCAACTCTGATTCTCAGAGCACATAGGTCGTACAAGGCTGCCAAAAAATTCTGTTTACGCAGTGTTTTCTCTCAACTGTTTAAAAAATTTCACAAAAGTGGAAGGTGAGATTTAATGTAAAATTAATTATGCCAATGGAAATTTTACCACATTGACAATAAAACAGCACATGAAATACCAAGGACATTGTAAGTTATTTTCTACAGACTTTAGTGCACACTAGGAAAAATCTCATGGACACATATGTAAACTATCTATATAGAGTTCTTTTCTCTCTCTTCTTCAGTTCACAGTTCAAAGTCTTCCTCTGCCAAATTCTGTAAAGTAGTAGAGAACAGCTTGTCTTCATTGTGTGGATGGATAATGGAACACGTGTTAAAAGCCATTTTTATTCTTGGATAATTAATTTAACAATAACTTGTTTATGTATGTTTCTTTTAAAACCACATTAACATTCTGGGTATATTTGTCTCAGAAAGTTGATGGGAATATGAAGAAGAGAGGTATTCTGTAAATATATGGAATTGACATATTCAAACAGGTAAAAGTAATTCTTCTCATCTAAGCCAACTGATGAGTAAGAGAGAAAAGGGCTGAAAGAATTTAAAGGGTGTGAAAAAAAAAACATGGACAACAAATGTTTGACATTATGCAAATGTTCACTGAGTAAAGCAGCAACATGCAGGAAAAATTCTGGTTCTAATAAAATGATATTTAGACAAAAGGAATTATCATTGGATGGAAAATGTATTGTTTGAATTACTTAAACTTAACAAATAAGAAATGTCAAATGTTTTAGTGGCTATTAATAAATGTAAAAAGGTTATATAGAGAGACTTAATGAATTACGCAAGTCAAACCAAAAATTTTCTTAGATTCACCATATCATTAAATTTTGATTCAAAGTGCTGAAAATCTGATTACGTATTTAATTCTGGCTAGATGTTTATAAAATGCACAATATGTGTTCTTGTTAAGAAAGTGGCACCATTGAATGACATAAGCCAGAGCTTCTCAATCTGCTTGTGCAATAACCCGGAATGTCCAAAATTATTTTCAACAGCATCATAGAAATCTCAAGCCCCACTATCCCTTAAAGATTTCAGAACAAAGTAGATCTTAATTCATTTAATCTTTTTTGAAATCACAAATACTCTAAAGAAAGGATATTTAGGATGAATGAGTATCATGAAACAAAAATAACCTCCAAAAAATTAAGAATCACTTTTTTAGGCAATAAATACAACCACTGAATGAGAGACTTTACTCATTGGTAAAAATTCTCCCAGAGATTTGGTTCATGGTTAGCCAGCACCTCAGAAAGCAAATTTTCTTATTTCTAATGAGATAGGAATGTGGCTTATTTTTCTTTTATCCTTCCAAGACCACTAATTATATGCATTATCTATTTCTTCTAATTGAAATCAGATTTTAGCATTTGACAATTCCATGGAAAACAATGGGAACAAATGCAAAATGGGACAATTTCTATTTTGGTTTAGTAACATAGGGATACAAATTACATCAACTTCAAAACATTTAATATTCAGTTCTGAGTAAGGCAACTTGGAAAGTAAGGCACATTTACATTTCAGTTCAACTATTTAACTAATATTTAATGAATCTACTGTGAAAAAAGTACAATGCTGAGCAGAGAGGAGATTGCAAGGAAAACAAAACAACCCCTACTGGGTAGTTTTCCAAATAAATTGAGACATTGAACATAATCACAAAACTATGATAGGATGATAAAACAATATGACAGACTCAAATAAAATCCATTGGTATTCACCGGAAAATAACTAGCTCATCTTTGAGGCCGAATAATATTTTGGCATACAGAAATACAGAAGGCAAGGCATTCAGATAGAGAGAATGGAGTCAAGTATTCACATGTCATGAGTAATTTATAGAGTAGTTAATTGTTCAGTGTGTTTGGTACACAGCCAGCACTAATGTTAGATTGTGGCCCCCTTGTGGGGAACTTTGAAGGCTAAGATGAGAAGCGTGGACCTCATTCATCAGGAAAGCCAATGGAGATACTAACAGGCTAGTGACACAACAACATACACATGCTTTAGAAGAATTAATTTTTCAGCAATATTCAATAGCTGAAGTTGGTAAAAGATGTAGGCATGAAGGTGACTTCATAATTTTAGGCCACTACATAATACTAAAGAGAGTAAAAAGAGACTGAAATATGGGGCTGACAGCAAGAATGGAAAAGAAGGAAGACACAGGAAGGAAGGAAAGGACTTTTTTTGAATGATATTTCAATACACTTCTAAAATTTAACACTGACAATATATTTCAATATTAATTTACTTAAGTTGGAAATCTATCAGTAAATCCTAATAATTAAATTAGTGAAAATACTTAGAAGTGAGAGTTTTTTATGTGTAATGTTACAGCATTAGTATGGATCTATTCATGTTTTAACTATTCATTTTTGATAAATGTTAGCAATGTGTTTTAGGTTTATAATTCCTAATTTAAAAATTCAATATCCAGTTTAATTAGAATGTGAATGAATGAGTTAAAGTTTAACTAAGAAAGTAGGAATAAACATAATTTTATCAGTAATCAATGTACAATATAATCAATCAATATGTAATTATTGAAGACTTACTAAATACAAGCTATTGTACTTTTACATAATACCTCTGTAAGAAATAATTTTTTTAAACAAGAAGAGACCAAATATTTACATAACAATATAATTTAAACAATAATAAATGCAACACTTCATGTTATGTCATTGAAAGGAAAAGTTAAAAACTCAATTATGCAACAACCCCGAGAAATAAGTGACGTCGGGCAAGTTAATGTTCTATAAAACTTTGTTTCCCCTCCTTTTTAAAATGTAAACCTTTCTTGGTAGAACTATTCCCCCCAAATATAGAATGTTGTGCCTTTTTCTCAAATCATTTTACTGTGCTGCATAGAAAAAGCTAGAGATTCAGTTGTGAATGTGGAGCATTGGACTAAATAATGACCCTTGCTGCCTTGTGATAATGTTATTTTCTCTTATAGTTTTCATTACTTTATTTCTCATTTGCTTTGTCATACTTTTCTGCTTGTGGACTTTCCCTGAATTTCTATCATTATAAGATGTTATTGACCAAATAGGGTCTGTCTTTCCAATCTTTTGCATTGGATATAATTGGTATTCTATTTTTTCTTCGTTGCATTTGTTATTGCTGAATACTAAGGAATTGCTTGCTTAACCACCAGAGACCTTCTTCTCAGCAAGTTTTCTCCTTTTGAACTTGGGAATCATATTATGCAAAATAAGTAAATCCACTATAGACCCCACTAAGGATATTTGTAAGAACTAGAAGATAAGTTTCTTGGAAATGCTAAAGATCCTAATGACCTTCCTCTCTGCAAAAGTTAGACTTATATTCCATGTACTTCACTTATTTAATAAATTGAGGGGAATACATTTTTACTTCTTCTCTTTATTATTATTACTATTTACTTTATTTTTTAAGCTAAAATGTTTTAACCAGTCATTCTCGGAAATTAGATAATGACAGTACTGGGCTTGGAAGCGGGGTCATTGACATTCAATCTCATTCTCTTCAGTGGGAGCCAATGTTCCTTTTTGAGTTTCTGCTTTCTCAGTTAAGTAAGGAGCAATTCATTTTTAATTACCCCTCTGTGATTGACTTCTAGCAATTATAATCAAGTTCTGGAACCCAACCCTTGACTAATGCAAAATTTTTAAATGAACTTAGATGAATTAATGGTGAGTCTGAGACCATGAGTTTTGCTTTGAGCAAAGCTACTTAATGTACTATGGAGATGAAAACATTGACCTTATTCTTATTAGTACTCCATGAGAACTTGCTCATTTAGTCTGAATAATAGGTTTCAGAATGATGTAAAGATTAGTAGAATATCAAGGATTAATGTGTTCTTGACATAATTTTAACTGACTTTTTAAGAAAACTAATAATGGTTAAAGCAAAGAGAGGAATAAGTAACAGAAATAAAATGTAGTTTCTAGAACATGAGTTACAAAGTGGAAGTTAACCAAATATTAATTTTTTTATTAGCTTAGTCATTTTGAGAACCATTTCTCAAACATTTTTGGAGCAAAAGTTAAATATTGAAAAATGAATTAGATAATTTGTATTTTATATATCTTTAGAACATATTTACTTTTTATATAAATTCTTATGAGATTCTCCCCCGTTTTAGATTTCAATCTGAATTTACACGGCTGATTATCATTGTACCATATGTGTTTACCAAATATTAGTGCCACTTTTTTTCCTTCTCCCAGCAACCATGGTGATATTTTCATGCATTTATCATTGCACACAAACAAAATTCCTTAGCATGATCTTCAAGAATCTATACGAACCTAGCACCTGCCTACTTTTCTCAATCTTATGTTAGATTCTTCACATACTCACTATGCTCCTGAAGACTAAGGAAACTAATGAGATAAAAGGACTTTCAGAGTCACAAGGCATGGAGGTAAAATGATCTTGAAGCTCACTGAAAACTGAATGATTTGGGGTTGGGGGGCACCTCTTATGTGACAACAGATCTCTCAGTGGTATCAGCCAAACCTTGGGGCACCATTGGTGGTAATATCTTTCATGAAACAAGAAGAGTGTAATTATTCTGTTATACACTTGGTCATTTTTGATGGTCATAATAATCATAATCAACCTAGTACACTGTGAACAGAATTTCTTGTTGATTATAATAATCATAATCATTTGAATTGATTGACTTTAATACTCACAGGAGTTCTTTGGGGTGGGTACTCATCATTTTTTACAGATAAGGACACTGAGGCTCTGAGAGGTTAGTGATCTTCTCAAGTTCACACAGTTTATACATGGTAGGACTGGGTTACAACCCAGATCTGGGTGACCCAGAGTGCGTGTTCTTACCCACCGTACAGTACTGCCTCACTCCTATAGCCTCCTATGGAAAGAATTACCAGAGCACACTCAGAAAATGTTATTCCTAAACATATAATATTAAAATGTATCTTTTAGAGACTATTGAATATTTCACATCCAACCTTTTTTAGAAAATTTCAATCTATTTTGTGAACTAAAGTGTGAACTTTAGAAGTAATGCAATTTTGTGTTTGTTTGTACCTCCATTTTTTTAACATTTATAACAGAGTATGATCCTAGATTCCTTTAGGAATGAAATAGAATTGTTTTTTGCAAAAATAGTTACCTATATTTTATTACTATTCTGTACTTCAAATGCACTTCCAGTTACCATTAAACATCATAATTCCCACATTTAACATCTGGATAAATACATATAGGTTCTACGCCAAAGAGCTTTAACACATGGAAAAATCCACTTGGCATTCACTAACAATTTCCATTTCTTTAAAATTGGGCTTTGCTTCTCTAGTAAGCAGAGATGAAAGACTGTAATTAGCTAATTTTTTCTATTCAATGTTATATTTGCTATTTTGTTTCTATATTAATTTTCCCTCAACACGTCTGTTGTCTCTATTTTTGATGAAGAAGCTCTTAATCCTAATGGTATTTAAGTACTGATTTCTTTTCTTTATTGTGTATAAAGAAGCGTATGTTTACTTTTGAAACTCCATTTTTTCTGTGTTATTTCCCTGGTGATCTCTGGCCTATTAAAGCATATATTATATTATATGCAGAAAAGGATGATGAGCTTGCTCATACAGACTACCAGAACAACTCCTGCTAAAATAGCATATCCATTTATATTTCAGTAAGTAAATTGGTGCCCCTGAAATTTCACAATTTAGTGTTACATCTAAAATTAAAATGGTATCTGTACATTTTAAACTTAATAAGTTAAATGATACATATGACATTAATGTTTGAGGAGTAAAATAAATTCACAAAATTCCCATACATTGTACTTCATTTTACTTTACTTGCCAATTATTGTAAAGAAAGTCATTGTGTATTAAGAACCTACAGAAGGCTTCTTTTTACACAGGAATTTTAATAATACATAATTAATTATCTAATTAATATCAATTTTTCAAAACCAACCACCAAGAAAGTGAAAGCTATATGTTGATAAAGCGATAAGACCAGGCAATTATTTCTGTCAATTGCAGCTTAAATCTGAATCATTTTCTTTGAAGACTAGCGCTTTTACATCATTAGTTTAATTTTTCTCCCTGTATTGCAGATACTGTGTTTTCTCAAAGAGATCTCATATGCTCCCTTGAATAGCCTCTGATTGAAAGGCTCATGTTTTTGCAAAATACACTCTTTTGTGATATGTTTTAGATTTTGTTCCTCAGTTGACAGCTTCCTGTCCAAAATTGTCAAGAAGAACATATAAATATTGCATCACACAGAGATACTTGCTAGTATAATTTCCCTGAAAAATAAACCAACCGAATATTTGATAAGTTAGAAGTTTTAATCACTAAGAATGGTTTTTCCTCAGGTTACAATAACCTTGGATGTTGGAATTATGCACTGATCTCTAAATGATGCATAGTTATGGGGCTCTTTAATAAAATTGGAAGTAAAAGATTTATATTTGACATTAAATCTCTATGAACATTTTGCCAACATAGATTTATTGGCATTCAACCTTCTTTCCTTTATATCTTTATTAGCAAAATTCTAGAAAGAGTACTGAATAGAAATGTTCACCTTGCTATTAAACTCTGTTTTACTAACAAACATGTACCTGGATTTCAATGACAGATACTGTTGGAAAAGCACTATTTGTTTTTGAATTATGAACTATGAGTGTTAAGGCCTTTAGTTGCTAATTGTTGGCTTTCATGTTATCAAAATTATATCCTTCATATAAGACTTCATATAAGACTTTTTTATTATCACTGAAATTTGATTAAATCTATCTGGTTGAAGACAGTAATTTTTCTGTTTCAAGTAGACAATCATTATTTTCTTTATATCTCCATTTCCTCTTCTCCAACATTTTCCTTATAATTGTTTTCACAAGCTGTAAGAAGGAAATAACTTTAATAATTTTAAATTGGCTTATTCAGTATTGATGATGAGTAACAGGGGATAAGAATTGTCATTTAGTTCACTTGTTGATTAAATATTTTTAGACGCCAATCTACATTAAAGCAAATAATAAATATTTGATTTTTAACATTCAGCTTTGGATAACAACCCACCACACAGAATAACTACATTTCAGGTTTGAAACAGAGTCCAACTGTGAGCTGAATATGTTGAAGCTCTCATTAAGCTTCATTATTCATTAGTCAATAGAACAATTAAAATAAGAAAGAAAATTAATTTTCTTTGTATTATATGTACTTTTATTTATACATAAAACTCCCATTGCTCCTCAGTCAGTTGTGTGGATACAAGTTTTTATCTGCTATGATATTAATTTTGCCTGAAGAACTTCTTTTAATATTTTTGTTGTAGGTGTTTATTGTTATAAATTATCTCCTGTCTGTTTGTTTGAAACAAGCCTTCTCTTTTATTTTTGAAAGTTATTTATACTTGGTAAAGTATTCTGGGTTGACCTTTTCTGGTCTGTTTGGCATTTTAAACATGTCACTTCCTCTGGTTTCTGTAATTTTGAATGCAGTCTTGAGAAGTCTGCTATCATTCATAGACATATATATATATATATATATATATATATATACATATATATATACAGATACGTAAAATATATATTATTCTGTATTTAAATATGTTATTTTTTTCTGGATTCCTTCAAGATTTCCTTTTTACCTTTAGTTTTTAGCATTTTTCATATGCTATTTTAGGTGATTTATTTATTTAGTTAAATAGCTAGTCAGTTTATTCTGCTTGGTTCTCTATGAATTTCTTTGATCTGTGGTTTCACATCTTTCATTATTTTTTGAAAAATTCTCAGCCACTAACTTACAGTATTTCCCTTCCATGTTTTGCTTCTCTTCTTCTTTTGTGACTCCTATTACACCTATGTTAGACTGATTAATGTCGTCCCTAAGGTCTTGCATGCATTAGTCTTTTCTTTTTGCTCTTTGTGATTTAGCCTAGTTTCTTTCTATTGAACTATCTTCATATTTACCAATTCTTCTTTCTTTGTCAAAGGCATTTTTCTTATTTCAACTACTATGTTTCATATATCCATCATTTCTCTTTCTTCCTTACAGTTTTCATCATTCTGATGAAATTTAAAATCTGTTTTTGGCCAGGCACAGTGGCTCACGCCTGTAATCCCAGCACTTTGGGAGGCTGAGGTGAGCAGATCACTTGAGGTTGTGAGTTTGAGACCAGCCTGACCAACATGGAGAAACCCCATCTCTACTAAAAATACAAAATTAGCCAGGCTTGGTGGCGCATGCCTGTAATCTCAGCTACTTGGGAGACTGAGGCAGGAGAATCGTTTGAACCTGGGAGGTAGAGGTTGTGGTGACCCGAGATCGTGCCATTGTACTCCAGCCTCAGCAACAAGAGCGAAACTCCATCTCAAAATAAATAAATAAATAAATAAAATCTGTTTTTATAATTTTTTTCTCAACTCTAGTATGTGCATGCTATCCACTTTTTTTAAAAAAAGTTTTTAAATACAGTAATTTTAGTTATTTTAAATTTTCTGTTTCATAGTTCCATAGTTCCATATTTGGATCATATATGGACCTGGTTTTATTGATTCCAATATATCTTGCCAGCATATTGTTTTTCTCACTTCATTGTTCTGTAATTTTTTGATAGATACTGGACATTGTGTCTGAGACAATATAGATGAAAATAAATATTGCTTATGTGTGAAATGAACATGTCTCTTTATGCTAGACTTTTAGCCTGGCAGATTGAGTTAATCTAGTCAGGGTTTGAGCAAGATTTAGGTTTTGCTGTTGCAATGATTTGGGGACACCATTGGTTTAAATGTTTTCTAGCTTTTCTTTGAGCTTATGACAGGACCTTAGTTTCAGGGAGATTTCCTCAACGATTCTGTTCTGTCTTTAGTTCTATATTTTTTTATAGCCTTACTAATCAGAGAAGACCTCTCTCTGTGTTGTTGCCTCTCTTTCAGCAGTAGACTGATATTACTTAACACACATTACTTGGTAGTATGGTGCTGGGGAATGGAGAGGCTTTTCTCTTGTTCTGCTTTAGCATCAGTCTTAGGCAAACCCTATATTCCCAGGTCTTAGGTCTTTTTCAGTGATCCTGCCTCCACTGTGGTAGAGGACTTCTAATGTCCTACTTTGTCCCAACATCAAGTGCTTTTTTTCTCTTTATTTTCCCACACTACAATGGATTTCCATGTATTTCCTGAAAGATATAATATATTGTGTCCCTCTTTCAGTGGTGCAAGGCTTTTTTTTTTCAATGTGTAGACAGACAAGAATGATCTAGTTGGGACTTTGTGCCAAAAAGGCAATAATGATACACAAGTTCATTGTGCCTTTCTCACAGTGGTTGGTAAATTTCTCCCCAATGCTTGCATTAAGCAGGAGCTGTCTCTGGTATCCTAAACCTTTCTTGTAAGCACCTGGAGAGGTACATGGACAAAAGATTAGGTGCAATCTTTCTTTGTGTCTGTGGCTACAATTCTGTACTTTCATACTAAACAACAATTAACATTTAGAAATGTGTTAAAATATTTAGCTTTTTTTTTTTTTTTTTTTTTTACCAATTTGCTTGTACCCTATGTGTCTTTCCTTTATACTTTTGTGCAGATGAACCAGTGCTCATGTCCTATCTCTCTTGGAAAGCACCCATGTTTCCTTAGACTTAAGACTGATTGTCCAGTAGCCTCAGAATCTTAGATTAGTTCAAAAAATCTGTGATTTGTAGATTATCCAAATTTAGGAAGAGCCAAGATGGCTGAATAGGCACAGCCAAGAAGAGCTTTTCTCACCTAGAAAGACCAGATCATCAGTAGACTGGCACACTCCAAACAGATTTTCAGAAAGATGGCATTGAGTGTGGAAAGAGGAAGGATGCAGACCCAGGGCTGGAAGAGTAGAAAGCTGGAAAAAACACATGGGGTTTCCAAGCACCAGGACTCATTTCTTGGCCCAAGTGGCTCCCAAGGAAGGAGTAAGTGAAATAGGTGTGGAGTGACTCACTCTCACCAATGGATTTCCAGAATCCCAGCTGCAGGAGACCCCATGATCCCCATAGACATTTGAGAAATCAAGAAATTATTTGAAACTACTAAAAATAAAAATACAGCATACCAGTATCTTGCAGACTCAATTAAAGCAGTGTTAAGACAAACATTTATGGTCCTAAATGCTTAGATCAAAAAGTTAGAAAGATCTCAAATTAACAACTAACATCACATCTAGAGGAATTAGGAAAACAAGAGTGAACCAGTCCCAAAGCTAGCAGAAGAAAAGAAATAACCAAAATCGGAGCTGAATGGAACAAAATTGAGATGTGAAAATTCATGGAAAAATGGTTTTTTGAAAGAATAAATAAGATTGATAGATAGTAGCCAGAGTAATAAAAAGATAGTATCCCAATATACACAATCTGAAATGACAAAGATGACATTACCACCAAGCCCACAAAAATACAAAAAAAAAAAAAAAACCCTCAGAGTCTATTACAAACATTTATGTGCACAGAAACTAGAAGCACTAGAAGAAATGGATAAATTCCTGGAAACCTTTAACCTCCCAAGATTGAACCAGGGAGAAACTGAATACCTAAATAGACCATAATGAGTTCTAAATGGAATCAGTAATTAAAAAAAAAACCCTATAAACTAGAAAAAACTCTGTACCAAATGGATTCACAACTAGTACAAATCTTGCTGAAATCATCCCAAAAAATCGAGGAGCAGGGTCTCCTCCCTAACACGTTGTATGATGCCGGTATCATCCTGATACCAAAACCTAGCAGAGACACAATGAAAAAAGAAAACTTTAGGCATAAACAAACATTATAGACACAAAACTCCTTAACAAAATACTAGCAAATTGAAAAGTTAAACTCATG
This sequence comes from Homo sapiens, assembly GCF_000001405.40. Taxonomy (NCBI): domain Eukaryota; kingdom Metazoa; phylum Chordata; class Mammalia; order Primates; family Hominidae; genus Homo; species Homo sapiens. The sequence goes on along the minus strand of NC_000002.12, from coordinate 188,756,758 downwards.
ATTAAATAGACTTTATTAATCATGATTAAAAGCACATCAAAAATCTAACACCATGATTAAATAGACTTTATTCCTGGAATGCAAGGTTGGTTCAATATATGCAAATTAATATTAATAAATGTAACTCATATAAACAGAACAAAAAACAAAACATACATGATCATCTCAATGGATGCAGAAAGGGCTTTCAATAAAATTCAACATCCTTCATATTAAACACCCTCAGCAAACTAGGCATTGAAGGAACATACCTAAAAATAATAAGAGCCATTTATGACAAGCCCACAGCCAACAGCATACTGAATGGGCAAAAGCTGGAAGTATGCCACTTGTGAACTGCAACAAGACAAAAATGCCCACTCCCACCACTCCTATTCAACATAGTACTGGAAATCCTGGCCAGAGCAATCAGGCAAGACAAACCAATAAAAGCCATTCAAATAGAAAGAGAGGAAGTCAAACTATCTCCATAATTGATAATATGATTCTATACTTAGAAAACCCCACAGTCTCTGACCAAAGGCTCCTAGACCTGATAAACACGTTCTGTAAAGTTTCAGGATACAAAAGTAATGTATAGAAATCAGTAGCATTTCTATACTACAATACTGTCCAAACTGAGAATCAAATCAAGCCAAATCAATAACTCAATCCCATTCACAATAGCCAAAAATAAGATAAAATACCTAGGAATACAGCTAACCAGGGTAGTGAAAAATTTCTACAGTGAGAATTACAAAACACTGCTGAAAGAAATCAGACATGACACAGACAAATGAAAAAACATGTCATGCCCATGGATAGGAGGAATCAATATTTTTAAAATGGTCACACTGCCCAAAGCAGTTTACAGATTCAATGCTGTTCTTATCAAACTACCAATATCATTTTTCATAGAATTAGAAGAAACTATTATAAAATCCATATGGAACCACAGAAGAGTCCAGGTAGCCAATGTAATCTGAAGAAAAAAAAAAACAAAGCCAGAGGCATCATACCACCTGACTTTAAACTATACTACGAAGCTACAGTAACAAAAATTGCAGTGTACTGGTGCAAAAACAGACATACAGACCAATGGAACAGGTTAGAGAACCCAGAAATAAAGCTAAACACCTACAACCATCTGATTTTTGACAAAGTCAACAATAACAACCAATGGGGAAAGAACTCCTTGCTCAATAAATGGCTCTGGTATAGCTGGCTAGCCATATGCAGAGGATTGAAACTAGACCCCTTCCTTTCAGCACACACAAAAATCAACTCAAGAGGGATTAACAACTTAAATATAATATCTAAAACGATAAAAACTCTAGAAGAAAATCTAGGAAATACCAATCCAGACCTAGGCCTTGGCAAAGATTTCATGATGAAGTTTCCAAAAGCTATTACAACAAAACCAAAAATAGACAAGTGGGACCTATTTAAACTAAAGAGCTTCTATAAAGCAAAACAAACAAAGCAAGCAAGCAAAACTATCAACAGAGTAAACTGACAATGTACAGAATGGGAGAAAACATTTGCAAAACATGCCTCTGACAAAGCCCTAATATACAGAATTTATAAGGAACATAAACAAATCAACAAGCAAAAAACAAACAACCTCATTTAAAAAAATGGTCAAAGAACATGAATAAAAACATTTCAAAAGTAGACATACTGCCAAAAGCATATGAATAAATACTCAACATCACTAATTATTAGAGAAATGCAAATCAAAACCACAATGAGATACCATTTCACACCAGTCAGAATGGCTATTGTTGATAAGTGGGTTGATAAATTTTAAAAAGGAAAATAATTAATAAAAATATGAGTAATTTAGCAAATATTTGAATCTCTTTCATATGTGGGATTCACTGTTGGTATCCTTAACTCAGCTTATGGATGATGAGATGCTTTGTTTTTTTTAATGGCAAAATTTGTTTTGATGTTTAAGTGCAGCATAAATGGCTTTCTAAATCCTAAAATTTTGGAAAACATGATAGGGTATTAAGTGGTCTTCAACATATGCTAATTATTTGAAATAATTATTTAATATCAACTAAACTGTTTTAATTCAACCGTCAATAGTAAATCTAATCTGATCTGTTCAATTCATGAATTTTCACCGTAAGTGGTAACTTAGTTCTTTTGTGAGATGGTAGAAGTCATTTCAACTATTTTTTGAATGAAACTAAAATTATTTAAATAACTTCTATTTATGAAACATGGACAACATCGTTATTAAAAATCGAATTTAAATTTCAACATTTAAAAATGTCTGCCTTCCACAAACTTGTTCATGCTTTCATCCAAACTTCAATCTATACTTTTATTTGAAAAATAGGAAATAAGACTAAAGAATAAATTCTTCCTTCAAAAAGTTTATAATCTAATAGATACTAAGTACAAATAAATTAGATTTTTGTATTTCAAAAAATCTTCACAGTTTAATTAAACAATTTTTTTCAATTTTTAAAATTCATGTAGTGTCTTCTATGGCTGAGCATTGGGCTGGGTGCCGGCAGAGACTAAGGAGAAGGAAAGTTACACAGTTCTAACAGATCAAAAGGTATAAATATGACTCCATACAAATTATAAAATGATTGGAATAGAGCCTTTAAAAAAAAAAAGTCCAAACAAGCATCTATATCCAAAAAAGACCAGATTTTAATTTATATTTAAATGTTCCTAAAAATCAACAAGACCCAATTATAAATGGGCAAAACGACATAAATAGTACACATAAAAAGAAAAACAAAGGGCTTTTAAACTTGTGAAAATATACATAATCTAACCTACAATAAGGGAAATGGAAAATTAGACTAAGTTGTTTTTCACCAATCACATCGATAGAGATTTACAAATTGGTTACATATTCTATTCACAAGGAGGAAGAAAAACAGACAACTTCGGACATTTTTGGTGGGAGGGCAAATTGACAGAGCCTCTGTGGAGAGCATTTTGCCAATATAAATCAAAGAGTAAAAGATATACAACCATTTCCAAGAATTTATTTTACTCTCCGAGTGTCCAAAATTGTATGAATATGAATATACGTTGGAACATGTTTATTTATAATAACCAAAAAATTGGAAATATATATTCATTAATAAGGGATATTCATTGTATAATGTATATGTAAAATGTAGCAAGAACTTCCTATTGTATAATGTACCAAATGTGTTAGGTTTTGTTTTGTTTTTGTTTGTTTGTTTTATTTTTTTTTAGACGGAGTCTCACCCTGTCGTCCAGGCTGGAGTGAAGTGGCGCGATCTCAGCTCACTGCAACCTCCGCCTCCTGGGTTCAAGTAATTCTCCTGCCTCAGCCTCCCAAGTAGTTGGGATTACAGGTGCCCACGACCACACCTGGCTAATTTTTGTATTTTTAGTAGAGGCGGTATTTCGCCATGTTGGCCAGGATGGTCTCGATCTCCTTACCTCGTGATCCGCCCGCCTGGGCCTCCCAAAGTGCTGGGATTACAGGCATAAGCCACCACGCCTGGCCATTAGGTTTATACAGAAGAATACTACGCTACCATTAAACCAAATATTGGTTCTATAAGAACTGTCATGAAATTATCTCTAATATATATTTTTAAGTGAAATATACAAATTGGAGAACATTGTAGAAAATACGCTACAACCTGTATAAACAACGTAAACACGTATCAATATGCTTTCATGTGCATAACTTGATTTGTATTTCCGTGGGGTATTTTTGAAAGATACAAAAGAAAATTTTGTGAATATTTGTTGTGGAGGAAAGCTGGGGACATGGAGAAATAATACTGAGAAAAACCTAATTGTAACTCATATAATCTCTCTTCCTTATCAATATATGTTACACATACAACAGTAACATAGGTGACAAATAGTGTCTGCCTTAGATTGGATGGTAAACTCAATATACAATTAAGAAATAAAATCAATTTGTGTCATTTGGGTATGGGTAGTTAGAAAAGTTACATAGAAGATGTTGCATATTTCTGGCTTAGAAACTGCTGGACCTAGTGATTCGATTTTGTGAAATTCCTTATCTCTCACATTTGCAAAACCTTTCTTTTTTATCCAATGCCAATTTCTAAAATTTTATTTAAATAAATGAAACATCCCTATTTACATTTAAGAAAAGCCATCTTATTTACAGTAAAAAAAATTAACAGGAAATATATTTGTCTTACTACAGTGAACAGCACTATCCTTTAGTCCATGGGGAAGTAGCAGAAACACAAGCCCCTGCAGGTCAGGTTCCTTAATGGATCTCAGTCTGGGCTGTGAGTGAGGGTGGGGTTCCCCAAAGCAGACTCCTGGCCATAAATAGAATTTATATCCATTTTGTTAACATATTTTTTTTCATGAATTAAGCACTTTCAAAATATTCCTCCTTACAACGGTATTAGGAAATATATTTAAATTGCTGATACAATACAACCAGCAAAATATTTCCTTTAAATGTAAGATTTTTATAAATTCCAAATCTATTTCTACTTTGGCATCTGTTATAAGTTACAGCCTATATCCATACCACCACGTATCCCTCACACAAAGTGATGGAAGCACATAATAAATGTTTCTGCTTCTTAGTGCTTGGGCAAGTCCAAATCCACTTCTCTCAACTTGGCAAAGATCTTTTCATTTTTTTAAGTTTCAACATTAATAATTTTTAATTTATTAGCTTGGCACACTATGACAATAAGTAATATGGAATATATTCTATACCTTAAGGACTGGCCATAAAATCACAGACAGAGTACATTTCTAAAACAGTCCCTTCAGTGGGTCTATGCCAAATGTGACTCAATTGTTCAAAGATTACTCACACAAAACTGCTTTCATTTTGTTACTTCTCACTGCCCCACATTTCAATATCTCGTTTTACCAGCCAATGAGAAGTAAATTTAAATATATATGATTTCTCTTATTCAACTAACATTTTCTGAAACGATGTTTAATAATCAAGCTTTGTTATTAATGTATATCAATATAGAAAGGTACACAGTTTAAGGAGACCAGGGAGTAAATATTTTAGAGTTGTATTTATAATGCCTGATTGCTTTCTTTCTAAATTTTTAAGTTGTTATACAATGGATTCCTTTTGAAAGTAGTATAATGAAACATATAATATAAATTATTCATACTTTCATGATGATTTGTGTTGCAAATCGATGTAACAGTTCATTACATATATTACAGCGAGCAAAGATTGGGTAGAATTTTCAAAACATAAAGGGAAGACACAACAAGCCATTATCTTAAAGTGTCATAAACTTATGAAACTTTCTTTTGTAGAAGTTTAGCTAATTCCAAGACATAATCTGGAAATTTCCCAATAAATTAAACATATAATTACTACATAACTCAGCAATTCCACTTCTAGGTATTTACCCAAGGAAAATGAAAACACAAATCCACACAAAAATTGTACATAAATATTTATAGCAGCATTACTTACAATAGCCAAAAGGTGGAAACAGTGCAAATGCCCATCAACTGATAAACGGATAAACAAACTATGGCATATCAATACAATGGGATATTTTTTCAGCCATAAGAAAATGAAGTACTGGTACATGATACCACATCGATCAACCTGGAAACATTTTGCTAAATCAAAGAAGTCTATCACAAAACACCATGTATCAAATGGTTTCATTCATAAAAGTCCAGAGTAGGAAAATCTACAGAGACAAAAATACATTAGTGGTGTCTTAGGGATAGCAGGGTATAGAGAGTAATAGGCAAAGGGCACAGGTTTTCCTTTTGAGCTCATGAAAAAATTCTAAAACTGACTTTGGTTATGGTTGCATGTTATCTGTGAACACACTAAAAACCATTGAACTTCATACTTTAAATGGGAGAATTGATACATGAATTATAGCACAATAAAAGTATTTAAAAATTTCAAAAGGAATTTCTGACCAGTCCTAACACTAGTCAGGCCAGGACTGCTGTAGCTATCTTAGGTTGTCATTGAAGATCAGAAACTTATAACCAACCATTTTTTTACATGCAACTTTCATTATTAGAATCTTAATGGTACCTCTTCACCTCCAACTCATGACCAGATTTCAGCAGTAAAAAGAAGCAAACAATATAGAGTATCTATAACAGAAAAGCAAAAATTTACCCAGAAATCCTCGTTGTTTTTCCTTTGGTATCAGAAATAAGACAATCCTCAGAAACAAGAGAGAAATAAGAAATTTGCTATCTTTACCTGGACACTTTTCCACATCAAGCAGAATCTGTAGAAAAGAAATTGGGTAGGTGTCTTAGTGTGTTTGAGCTGCTGTAACAAAAAACCCTAAACTGAATAATTTATGAACAACAGAAATTTGTTTTTAACAGTTCTGAAGGCTGTGAAGCCCAAGATCAAGGCCCCAGCAGATTCTCCACCTGGCAAAGTCTCTATTCCTCATAGACAGCACCTCTAGCTGTGTCCTCACATGGCAAAATGGGCAAACACTGTGCCTCACATGGCAGGAGGAGCAGGCAGCGCCCTTCACCCACTTTTATAAAGGTACTGATTCCATTCCTGAGGGCTCTGCTCATGATACATGAATCACTTCTCAAAATGCTCCACTTCTTAATACCCTGCCATGGGGATAAGGTTTCAACGTGAATTTTAGAGGGACACATTTAGACTATAGCAGTAGGCAATTTTCAAGGACTCTCAGAAATTCATAAGAGATATTTGAGTTTTACAGGTCTTTAATGTTTTACCAGAGATAAGTTTCAGAAAATGTTTTAAAATCCATGTTAAGTTTATAGGATAGGAACTTAAGATTAAAATATAATTTAATATTACAACAATATTTTTTCTTTGTAATCATAAATGTTAGTCTACTATTTTCCATCTTCACAGATAATTTTTTAAAATCACAAAAACAACATAGAGGCATAAAGCTGACATTTGTTTCTACATTTTTGAAATAAATTTACAAGATTAATAGATTTGTTAATTCAATAATCATTGGTTAAATACATTCTATTGTTCATGCCCTTTGAATTGCTGGACATATAAAGCTAATTCTATGATACCATAGAGGAAATTTTAATAGGAAATTGTTTAGGGATATTTCAGATAGGTTACGTTTGACCTGATTTCTTAAAGGAAAACTGTTTACCAAACAGTGAAGAGGAGAGAGGTAATAAATACTGGAAGAACGGTTGGCACAAACCCCTAGAAGTATTTTATAAAGATGATATTGCAGAAAATAGTTAAAAAAAAAAACTTCAAAAGAGTAAGCAGGGAAAGCATGAGGTGAGATTCAATTGCTAAAGTAGATGTAGGTAAGATCCATCAGTAATATGGACCCATAAGTAGTATGGATTTTACGCTGTAGATATTTGAGCCACAGGGACAGTTTAAGAAGTGTTAGAAGAGTCTGTGAGCATTTTATAAATTATAAAAAATTTTATAAATGCACTAATGAACAGTGCAGAGCTTGAAGTGTTCGAATACTAAAAAAAGGACTCTTGCTTGTAAAGTTCAAAAGAAATCTGGTCTCTCCTTGGCCAGAAGATCATAGTTACTTCACTTCCAAAAGATTTAATATGTATAGCACACTCCCAACATGAAGATAAAGTGGTTATAAAATGTGCTGTGAAATGTCCCTCTTAAAAAAAGAAAGAGTCATATATGAAAATTAAATTTTATTTGAAATATATAAATTATTGTGAGCATAGATTCCTATAAAATGATTACTTTTTTCATCTTGGTTAAATTCTTCAATATTTAATCTTATTACTGTAATTTTATTTAGACTGTTTCATAGAATGTTGTAAAAAACTGGTAATTTTACCTATTGTTTTTAGTCATGTTTTTAGTGAGAAGCCTTGTACTGAAATATCTAGTTCATTATAATATATAATGCCTTTTTTATTTTTCAAGAATATTTCTTTTGTACTCTTAATATGTATATGCCCAAGAGTTATAGTATGTTTGTTTGTTTGTCTGTTTTGTTTCATTCTGAAGTTTGAGGAATCCCCTGGAGATTTACTTGAGTTTTAAAAATGAAATATTTTTGGAACATTTTAAGTGTTAACACAAACAACTTTGTGTAAACATATTTTTTAACAATAACTCTTTTATTTCTTTTCCTGACCTAAGAGGAATTCTAAGAATGGTGCGATATAGAATAAAACTTGGTTTTTAATTTAATTATCTCAAAAAGTAAAAAATATTATTCTAAACAGATAATCACATATTAGACAGTGCTAAACTTAAGATTCCTGGTTTTAATTAATTCCTGACGCTGTGTCTACCATTAGCTTCAGCTGTGAACCACAGGAGCATAAATCCACCCGTCCCTAGGATGGAGAAGACATGCCATTTCTCTCTGTTTTCCTGAGCAGTGTAATATGTATGGGTGATATCTAGAATTGCTGTAGTCATCTTACCCACCTTGTGAATAGTAACTTATGGCCAAAGAACAGAATCACTTAGAAATTGAGCTGGAACTCTGATTAAGTAATTCTTCAAAACCTATTTCTGCATTTGTAGTTTCATATGAACTGGCACAGACCTTTCTTTAAAGATTTAATTGAACTTTCTGTTACTTGCACGTGAAAACAACATAATTGAAACAGATTGAAATAGTCTAAAATTAAAAATAAAAAACTATCAGTGTGCATCTTCATTGCATCATACGAGTAAATGTGAGGTAATAGGGAGATAGGAGACATGAGCTCTATTTAGTTTAGAGTGTGCCATGTCATGGACACTGAACAAGCACTAGAAATAGAGGGTTGCATAAGAATCTGTGTCTCACTTTGGAGAGCTAGAATGACTCTGGAGGAAACTGACACAAAAATAGGTAATTTTACTAAGATATTGTGTGTGTATATGCAAATACTATGCTTAAGGAGTCCGCAGAAGAGAGATAATCAACACAACTCTGAGCGTGTCTGAAAGAATCAGTCATTAGTAAAGTGAAAAAGCAAGACGACAACATATGAGCAACACATAGTGTCATGGAACAGCCAATTGTCATTGGGGAATTATTTGGCTAAAACATAGTTTGTAAGGCAAGGTTACTGGGAGATGAAGTTGCAGAGAAAGGCCATGAAAGGGTGGTGTGCATCTTTCTAAGAAGTTCCAGCTTTAACACTTAATTTGGAAAGTAACACTATTTTAAGAAATAATGTTAAAATTACTGATATTTACTAAACTCAACAAAGAACGTAGAGTACACTTAGTGACTGATAGCAGAGTAAATAAATAATGCATATCTACGAAGAGGATATTATTTAAAATAAAGGCCCTGAAATTTGTGGGTTTATATATTCAGAATAAATTACTTGATGATCAACACTTAAAAGGACATCTTGCCCCCTAATTTAAAGCTAGATGGAGCAAGTCAGTAAAGTTTCATGTATTTGACTTGTTGTTCAAACTTAGAGGGAAGTGTGTTGTTTGATAGAATAAAGAAACATGCATTAGATGTTATAGAGATGGATAGCAAAATAACAAATCGAGCCCCTGAGGCAGAGGCTGCAGTGAGCCGAGATAGAGATCCCACCACTGCACTCAATCCTGGGTGACAGAGTGAGACCCTGTCTCAAACAAACACACACACAAACAAAAAACACAAATTATAGTATACAAAAAGCAGATCTTCATAGAAACAGAGGAGAATGGGCATGTAGGGGAGATGAGACCAGACTCAGTAGGTGGAGTGAGGCATGGTGAGGTTGAAAGGGCATGAGTTAAAAGGGATTTAAATATAGCCTCCTAATCATCAGTTTAGAACAGTAAATGAGATATGTATCTAGTACATAGGAAAAGTCATTATCTGTTAGCTATTGCTTTTATTGTTTTGATTATTTCACCTTGTGGCCTGCCCATGAGTCATACTCTGTAGAACACATAAGACCTCTTCCATGAACAAGACTGCTTAGTTACTATTTCTAGAGTTGATTTCAATATTCTTTACTTTGCCACAATCTTCCTGGCTGTCTGACTCCTTGGCCACTAATTAGGAATTTAAGAGTTATCTGGCTCTAAATCTATACTCACACCTGGATTCTATCAGTATTTTTCTTCTTATTCTAGACATACCCACTTCCACAGTCCTGCCCTGTAGGTTCCATAATAACCAGCAGTGGAAGGATATAAATTATATTCAGTCTTCTTCCCAAATGTGTATTAAAGTTTTAAAATCACAAATTCCATTTTCATTGGTTGGAAACTGCTTCTGAAATATGTCAATGTTAAGTCATTGAATCTCATTCCTTTCATTTTGTAGGTTTGTAACTTTACCAACTTCAATAAATTTTATATTCTTTTATAGACATGATCACATAACCACAGAGAGCTTTGAAAACACCAGCCCTATTAAAATCTAGCAGGTATGTTTTTGCACACTCTTAAACTTGGGTGAGGGTACTGGAAATAATTAGTTTTCCTCCCCATGATGACACAGTTCTCAGTTACTACATGTAGTCTGAGTAACACGTACCAGCTATGGGAATGGTTTAGATTTTAGTGCACCTGTCTCAGAGGTGTAGTCAAGGCCAAAAATATTAGTGAATAGTTTATGCCACACCCCAAAACAACCAGTGGTTAATTCTCTTGTGCTTTGGGGAATAGAGTTATTATATTTTATGATAGCAATGACTGGCATCCACTAACCATATTCCATATGCTTCGCATGAGGTCAGAGTAATTGATTATTTTAAAGCATGGGGCCAATTATGTAACTCTATTATTGCCCGGAAAATAAATACCTGAAAGATAAATGTAGTATGACCTTATGCAAAACTCAGAAAATGAGTTTCCATTCTGTCTTCTGAAAAGACTGAGACATCTACAGTATTATGGTCCTAAGAAAACAAATTCTCTGGTTTCTATTTATTTGTTTTAAATGATAGGTAAATCCTTTTTTATCAGTTAGTCAAGGGTAAGATGTGAATTGAAAGATGCCTCTACTGTGCCAGCAAGGAAAACAAGAGACTTTCCAATAATCATTGCAGCTGTCCATTGATAGTTGACTCCATTAATGAAGTAAACAAAATAAATGACAATAAGTAAATACAATAATAGTTGCACACAGACTCTACACACAGCCATGCCAAATCCTCAGAAAATAATTCTCATAAAATCAGAAGATTCTTTTAGTGTTCTCTACATAAACATACCAGGAAAAAGGTTAGATGCTGATTTTTATCTGATTGTATGTGATGTACAGTAACTTATATTTGCAGAACTTATGCTTAGCATCAAAATCCCTGGTTTGTATTATAATTCTAGAATCACTCCTTTTATCTGGGGGACCAAATGTTCTGTAAGTGGGTAATTATTTATGTATTAGAAATAGAGTGAGGATTAATTTAAGAAACTCTGCGTTAGAGTCTGGTACTATTGTATGAATTTGAGCATGTTACCTGTCATTCCTGCAACTTCAATTTTACTTTGTTGAAGATTATATAAATAACACTGGTTCTGATTGTTGAGAATTTGAATAAAATAGCAAATGGCAAATCACTTTTAATTTGACAAATGATATGAAATTGCTTATTTCTATAAAAGTTCTTACAGTGTGGGCTATGGATCATAAAATTCTCTTCATCTTTTTTTTCTTCAACTTTTATTTTAGGTTCAGAGAATCCATGTGCAGGTTCATTACATGGGTATTTTATGTGATTCTGAGGTTTGGGGTATGGATTCTGTCACCCAGGTAGTGAGCATTGATTGTATCCAATAGGTAGTTTTTCAAACCATGCTGCCTGTCTCTCTCTCTCCAGTAATAGTCCTCGGTGTCTATTGTTCCCAACTTTATCTTTGTGTATCTATTTATATTATCTTCATGTTTGGATGGTAGATTAATTGGATGTCAGAGTCTGGATCGACAGTTCTTTTGTTGGTAATTGTTTTCTCTCATCATCTCTAATGTTTTCATTCACGAAGCATTTAGCTATGGGTATTTACTTCTTTATCATTTATATCTTGCTTTGTACTTTCAATTATCACTTTCAAACTGAGGTTACATGTCTTTAATTCTGTAAAATATCCCACCCATTCTCCAAAAATTGTTCTGCTCTTTGCTATTTTCTTCTGGAACTCCTCATAGACTTATACTGACACTTCCAAACCTATGCTCCATTTCTCAGACTGTTTTATGATGTATTTTACCCTTGCATCTCTCTATGCTGTGTCCTGGGAGAATTCCTCAATACTATCTCTGAGTTGATTAATTAGTGTCGTTGTTACTTTCAATGATTCTAGTTTCCATTTCCAGGGCTCCTACTTGCTTCTACAGGTGTTAATTCTACTTGTTCTTGAAACTTTTATTCTCTGCATATGGCTTTTACTTATCTTTTTAAGAGTTATAAATATATTTATTATACAATCAATTTTTTTCAGATTATTTAATCATTTTTATTTTATTTGGAGTGAACTTATCTAGCAACTGTTGATTTCATTTTCTATCCATTTTAACATTAGTTTTCTTTATGTATTTTGGAATATTGACTCATGTAATAATACTTACTTGGAAGAATTTTTCACAATTTTTTGTCATTGTTCCTCCTTTCTAAGGAAATATACACAAGTATACTTTGTATACTCATTGTTCCTCCCTTCTAAGGAATTATACATAAGTATACTTTGCCATGTGACTACAGTACCTCCCATTATAGGTAAAAAATATTTACCTACATTGTTGATTTTGGTTTGGCTTGGTCTTATAAGCTGCTTCAGCCAAATGAATATTAGCAAATATGACACAAAGCAAGGCTTTATATTCACTTACTTTTTTTATTATATCATACCTTAAGTTCTGGGAAACATGTGCAGAAAGTGCAGGTTTGTTACATAGGTATACACGTGCCATGGTGGTTTGCTGCATCCATCAACTTGTTATCTACATTAGGTATTTCTCCTAATGCTATCCCTCCCCTATCCCCACACCCCTCAACAGGCCCTGTTGTGATGTTCCCCTCCCTGTGTCCATGTGTTCTCATTGTTCAACTCCCACTTACGAGTGAGAATATGTGGTGTTTGGTTTTTCTGTTCCTGTGTTAGTTTGCTGAGAATGATGGTTTCCAGCTTTATCCACATCCCTGCAAAGGATATGAACTCATTTTTTATGGCTGCATAGTATTCCATGGTGTATATGTGCCATATTTTCTTTATCCAGTCTATCATTGATGGGCATTTGGGTTGGTTCCAAGTCTTTGCTCTTGTGAACAGTGCTGCGATAAACATAAGAGTGCATGTATCTTTATAGTAGAATGATTTATAATCCTTTGGGTATATACCCAGTAATGGGATTGCTGGGTAAAATGGTATTTATTAACCTCTTGATTCTCCACTATCCACTAAGGAAAGAACCTGCCCTTTATAGCTGCTGCTAAGAATCACAATCTGTAGTATAAGTAAGCCCAGGCAAACCCATATAAGATGAACTGAACTATAACCCAGAGACCTATGAATGAGAAATATATATCTTGTTGTTATGATTTATTACAAATTTGAGGTTATTAGATAGCATTACTGTATGAATTGCTGACTATTCTAGAAGAGAGAGATCTGAATGTATGAATTGGCAAGAGTCAGTAAAGAAATGGCTTAAGTATCTAAGAAATAAATACAAATTTGAGGGTAGGAGGAAACTAGGGAAAGGAGAGGAGGAAGATGGAGAAAGAGATACACAAACAAACAAATGTGGGCATCATAGCAGAAGGATAGAACCTAAAGACAAAGTAGATTAGTAAAAACCTGGTTTCTGGTTGACCAAAGACTTTTAAAATAGATTTATCTAATATTCAGGTAAATTCTAATTCTTTATAATCTCTCTCTCTGATTTCTTGAACCTTTTGTAAACTCTATTATACATATATAAGTGCTTTATGGGTCTGTGTGTGGGAGTGTGTGTGTGTGTCCATGAGCATTTTCAAAGTAAGTCAAAGTAGCTGAGTCCTATATTTCAAAAGAAGACATGAGAAAATTCTTTCATGCAAGAAGAGATAAAAATGAAATCAAGAATGCAGAGGAAGCGGTAATTGAGAGCTAGCAATGGTCATTCAAATGTAAGCCCAAGGCACTTTGGAGAAATCATGAGCAACACATTTGACTTCACACAAAATGGGTTACAGGGCTTATGCTCACATCACAAAAATTTCAAAGGACAAAATAACATTCAACAAATTTTCAACAAACTACAACCATTACTGTAACTTCTCAGTTCTAAGATGCTATAAGTTATAAGATATATACTAATGTAGTTACAGGTTTTTCTGGAAATTATTTATATATTGCATTTTTAACTGACTTACAAGCAAAAGGAAACTTTTGCCAACAGAATTTTAGGTTACTATCTTAATTTGGATTATTTGAGAAGCAGATCTGCTGTAGGGATTAAACACATAAGAGATTTACTGGGAAAACAATTGTGAAGAAAAATGTTATTGGGGACAGAAAAGGAGAGGAGAGTTTTCAGAACACAAAGTAGGTTCAATCCTCGTGGAGGAGAGAAGAAAAGAAAGTTTAGGAGGAAAGGAAAGTATTCCCTATTTAATAAATGGTGTTGGGAAAACTGGCTAGCCATATGCAGAAAACTGAAACTGGACCTACAGAAAACTGAAACTACACCTTATACAAAAAATTAACTCAAGATGGATTAAGAACTTAAACGTAAGACCTAAAACCATAAAAACCCTGGAAGAAAATCTAGGCAATACCATTCAGGACATAGGCATGGGCAAAGGTTTCATGGTTAAAACACCAAAAGCAATGGCAACAAAAGCCAAAATTGACAAATGGGATCTAGTTAAACTAAAGAGCTTCTGCCCAGCAAAAGAAACTATCATCAGAGTGAACAGGCAACCTACAGAATGGGAGAAATTTTTTGCAATCTATCCATCTGACAAAGGGCTAATATCCAGAATCTACAAGGAACATAAAAAAATTTACAAGAAACAAACAAACCCATCAAAAAGTGGGCAAAGGATATGAACAGACACTTCTCAAAGGAAGACATTTATGTGGCCAACAAACATGATAAAAAGCTCATCATCACTGGTCATTAGAGAAATGCAAATCAAAACCACAATGAGATACCATCTCACATCAGTTAGAATGGTGATCATTAAAAAGTCAGGAAACGATAGATGCTGGAGAGGACGTGGAGAAATAGGAATACTTTTACAATGTTAGTGGGAGTGTAAATTAGTTCAGCCATCGTGGAAGACAGTGTAGCGATTCCTCAAGGATCTACAACCAGAAATACCATTTGACCCAGCAATCTCATTACTGAATATATACCCAAGAGATTATAAATCATTCTGCTATAAAGACAGGTGCACACATATGTTTATTGCAGCACTGTTCACGATAGCAAAGACTTGGAACCAACCCAAATGCCCATCAATAATAGACCAGATAAAGAAAATGAAAATGTGGCACAGATACACCATGGAATACTATGCAGCCAAAAAAAGAAAGATGAGTTCATGTCCTTTGCAGGGACATGGATGAAGCTGGAAACCATCATTCTCAGCAAACTAACACAGGAACAGGAAACCAAACACCGCATGTTCTCACTCATAAGTGGGAGTTGAATAATGAGAAAACATGGACACAGGGAGGGGAACATCATACACTGGGGCCTGTTGAGGGGTGGGGTCTAGGGAAGGGATAGCATTAGGAGAAATACCTAATGCAGATGAGTTGATGGATGCAGCAAACCACCATGGCACATGTATACCTATGTAACAAACCTGCATATTGTGTACATGCATCCCAGAACTTAAAGTATACTACTGCTACTACTAATAAAGAAAGTTTCAGCAAAACCAATGAGGGGTCTTCAAGTCAAAGTGGCCTGGGAGAAAAGTGCCTGGATTTGGTCTCTGCCTTACACCATCATTGGTTGAGAGGGTACCTGGGAACTGTGGCCTCTGTGCACATTCAATGATGGATCTCAAACTGTAGCATGTGGGACCACGGGTCATTGGTCAGTTATGCTTCCTGCAGTGGAGATCTGAGATAGGAGAGGAGTGTCTTCATGGTTGCCACAGTTATATCTCCTACTTTTGCAGACTCAGGTAGAAGTCTGTAACTGAGCCTTCTGAACTTTCAAAAGCTAAAGTGTGTTCTGAATTACTTTTGAATATCACAGTGGCCTATTTTGTATTTTTTGTTTTTGTAATCTTGATCTTTTTATCATATTTAGAATTATCTTTGTAATTTTGAGTTATATTGAAGAATGTCAATGTTTTATCAGAATTTTGAATTTGGTTGAATTAACAAACTTTTTCCCCTTTTATTAAATTGTATGTTTCCAGAAGTATAATGGCTTCTCTTAAAGGTCAACAGGTAACTTTTGACAGAAAAAGGACTTGATCTGTTCTTGACTTTGGAATGATTGAGTTATCCATTGTAGACTACATAGCTAAGAACATCTTATGAACTATTTCAAGAAATTTAGTTGTATTTTCATTTTCTGTCATGTGAAAATAAATAGGTATAGTATACAGACATTTTTTACCTCACTGCTATAATATTTGCAGGCATCTGAACTACAAATTTGGTATCCAAATTGAAATCAGATTTAATCTCATGCGGTGCTATCCATGTAAATAAGTGTGGTGACTGTCAGATGAATATGTATTTTATCTGTCACTATGTTTGCCTAGTTTACATAAAAACAAGTGTATCACAAGTGACCTCACTTGTGGCAGGCAAAATGCCTCCAAATTTCAGAAATACTACATTTTTAAATAAGTAATTTTTCTTGTTACAGAGGTAATAACTAAATATTTTTAGAAAATACAAAATAAAATTTCCATATAGATTATTGTCAGAAACTTGTCACTTCCTACAGGTTCTACTTAGTGATCATTATCTCTAACACAAAATCTCAGAATTTGAGATATTTAAGAGAGTATTCCTAGCAACAAAATTCCAACATTTTTTAATTAAAACTTTTCTGTTTAAAACTAATTATTAAATAGCATCCAATATATAAAACAGATAGAGGCAAGATCTCTCTGATCAAATTTTGGAAGTGTTTCCTGGAGCTCACACACTCAGCCTCTTCACATCTTTCTCCACCTAGAGTCCCTGAGCCTCTCCCAAATGTTGTTTCCAGGTAACACAGTTCAAAGACAGATTGAGAAATTAATATTATTTGAATGAAAATGGTGTGATGGATACATTTGCCTTTCTTCTGATTGTGAAAGAATGCATTCAGTACTACAATTAATGCTATTATATAGCTACGCTATAGCTATCACATTAGCTATAAGTTTTCCTTGAGTTTTGGTTTCATTGTAGAACTGCTTTTCTGTCTGTGATTTGCTGAAAGTTTTAAATCTTGAATGGCTTTTGGATTTTGTCAAAATCTTTTTCTGCATGTTTTTAGATGATCATACACTTTTTGTCAATTTTCTGTTAACATCATGTATTTTATGTATTAATTTTCAAATGTTTACCTTTGAATCCCTGGGATAAATCCTTATGATCATAAAGTATCATATTTTTAAAATATTTATTGATTTAATCTGCTATTATTGGATTCAGAATTTGCATATCTGTGTTTCTGAAAAGTATCATTTTACCCTTTCCTTCTCTCATAACACTTTTATCAGGTTGTCTATGAAAATTAGTCTCAAGAGTTGGGAAGTACTCTTATCTTTCATATATTACATTGGATATTTGCATGTACTTCTCCCTTTTCTTGATCAGTCTAGGGAAGAGATAATTAATTTTATTAAACTTTTTCACAACTTGACTTTTAGCTTTATTATTTTTCTTTATTTGCCATTTTTTCTAGTTCTCTTATCTTTATTATTTCCTTTTTATGCCTAATTTAAATATATTTTTTCTTCCATTTCTATCTTATTAATGTGGAGATTTTGATTCTTAATTTTAGACCTTTCCTCTCTATGTATAATTTTAATATTAATATTTTTATATCATTGAATAATTCAACTATTCTACGTAAGCAAATTAATGCAGAAGCAGAAAATCAAATACCACACCTTCTTACTTAGAAATGGAAACTGAACATTGTGTACACACAGACAAAAAGATGAGAACAATAAACACTGGGTATTCCAAAAGGTGGGAGGGAGGAAGAATTGATAAAGTACTTACCGGGTACTATGTTCACAACTTGGGTGACGGGTATATTAGAAGCCTAAACTGCAGCCTTAGGTAATATACCCATGTGGCAAACCTGTAAAAAGAAAAAGTCTGCAGGATACATTTACAAAACCAAAAAAAAAAAAAAAGTAGATATAAAAGAAGGCTTTGGATATCCAGTTATTACTACTAAGTATCTCTTTGAAATATAATAAAAATAAAATCCATACCTGTGATAAATATTCAAAATTACATTTATTTTTTCAAGATAATTTTAAAAGGATACATTACATTACTTTGTTGTTCAATTCATGTTTCCTTTCCATCCCCTTCCTTGACCTAATCCACTTTATCTACTCCAGTCTTAACGGTCCACTGTTTCTAAATCAAAGAACACACTGTTGGCTAAGAAGAAAAATGTTTTTATCATCATGTAATTTAGAATTATGTGGATGCTTTCATTAAACCCTCATATTTCAAAGGGCAAGAGTGAAAATGAGTTTACCATGTTGGACAACTGAACGCATATCAAATTAATAAATAATAATCAAAATTGTTTTCTCTCATGGCATGAGCTTTATATTGCTTTGTTAACGTTAGAGAAGGAATTTTTGGACAGACAGAACATTACTTCCTTCCCATGGCACATTATTTAGTTAATTCTTGAGCCAGCTCACCATTGTCAGGCTTAGATAGTATGGTTTTAAATCAGATTTTGAGCAGTCAACATTTAGAGGATGATATTCAGCATTTCTAATCCAGTAGGGTTTTTGATCCTTTATGCTCTTCCTTGAATAATGGGCTGCGTGTTGTTAAACATAATGGCATTCTATTTTGTGTCACTGGCAAAAAGTCCTATCTGACTTCGAACTTACAAAAATAGACACAGTTCCTTTTATTATATACCGTAAGAGAATTTGGAAAATATTTTATAAAATTAACAACCATATTATAAAAAACAATAACTGCATTGACTTTATTCTTAGAAACAAGAGAATTTTTGTAATTAGGAATTAAGAATGTAAGTTCAAAAGGTCACTGTTTTATTGTGTACTATCCAGTTGTTTAGGGTAATTTTCATGAATTTATGTCAATCCTGAAAAGGAAGTATTTGTCAAGAATGTAATAAGTTTTGTGGGAGGCCACTTAAAAGATTCTTATTTTTATAAGACCGTCTAGTCTTTTTTTACTAGGGATTAGAGGAGTACACAAAGGAACAAAAATTAAGGTATGAAAGAAACACTGTATCTTTAATTGGTGATGGATATCTATGCCAAAATTTCATACCCATGAAATTATAATTAATGTTTATTGGGTACCTACCATATGCCAGATACTGGACTAAAACCTTTTAATGAATTATCACTTTTTATTTAATCCATATAACAATTCGTTGCGTACTCTTATTATGTCAGCAGTAAGATTTGAATGAGTTAGCTAATTTGCCTAGTTTGTCCAAATGCATGATGAATAAGGATTGAATGAACCCAGATAAGTCTGACTGCAGAAACCAGATGGATAACCATGTTACCTCTTTATTCTGACTCTCTACCTTCAGTTTCATGTGCAAAATATAGGAATTCGCATGTAAATGAGGTCAACTTTACCAGATAGAAAACACAAAATCCCAAACCATTCAGATTATCAATTTTGATTATCTCTTTCCTTATGCTGTGCCTTTTTAACATTTCAAAATATAAGCATTTGTTCTCTAACACAATATAAATAAACTAGGAGGTGTATAAGCATTTTGAGGAATCATTTCTCCTTAATTTTATCTCTAGCATCTACCACAGTACTTGGCAAAGACAAGTGTAATTATGAGCCAAATTGTTAAAATATAAATTTCAGAAATATACTTAGACATTCCCACAGTTACAAAAGAGGTATAATGTATAGAGAAATCACAACTAATTAATGAAAAATATTTAAAAATTGGAAAAACTAAATTAAGCTAAGTGACAGGCTTCCAAAGATATACAATTCCTTACACATATATACCATGCTTCCAAATGCAGGTGTGGTGCACATATATCCTATAATTTTATTTCAGATTGTTACATATGCAAATGATAGTCTCTTTCACTGAAAGGCAAGCTAATAAGTATTTGCAGAATAATTAAAGTAGGCTAAATGTCTCTCTTAATAATGTATATGAAACAACTTATATTAAATTATAATTTTCAAAGGAAGACACCTCAACCCTTAAGCATCCATCTGACTGGGGTATATGCTAATTTCCAGAATGGGTCGGATTATCCATCAGAAAGCATTATATATGAGATAAAGTAAATATAGTTCAAAATAATATGTGATAAGGAACAGTAACACTTAATAGCAAAGTTTGAGACTGTGATGAAAATAATAATCAGCAACGTTCGTCTTGAGCAATACGTGTTGAGTGCTAATATAAGTGCTTTAGAGGGATTACCCTATTTGAGCCCTATGATGGATTTTGTGGTAGATATAACATTAATAATTAGGAGTCCTATTTTTGCCAATGGAAGAAATAGACATCTAGAGAGGTTAAGTAACTTGCCAGAGTCATACAATTAGGAAACAATAGTCAGGATTTGAAATATATCATATTTCTCCAGAACTTACACACTTCACCCTAAAATATTGTCTAGAATTAAGAGTGTCAATAATACGACGTTATTTAAATTCAAATATTGGAATATGTTACATCTAGGCAGGTAGTTAAACATCAGAAAAGAATCCTGAAACACTGGAATTCAGGGGACTAGGGGCTTGTCCCAGCTCTGAACAAATTAGCTTTGCCTTATCAGCCAACTCACTTATCCTTTGTGTGCCTCAATTTGCCAGTTTTTTTTTTATCAAGAAAGCTGGAGAAGATGCACTAAAACAATTTATTTCTTCTCAAATACTCCAAGTTTGCAAATACCCAGGGGCATTATAGGTTGTTTTCTCCTGTATTTGATTCTACTGCAGGCTTCTCTTCCATCCCTAGTACACTGTGATATTTATATCAGTAAGGATGAAGTTAAAAGTCACTCATGGTGCGAAATTGGATTCATAACTATTGCTAATGCAAATGAAGACAACTTAATGATTCAAGACTGTGCCTGAGAAGACTAAAATAAAAACTTATATTAAATTAGACTTGGGATTTCAGATTTCAGCCAACCCAGGTGCAAAGCTTAAGGGTGGTGATATGATACATCTATGATGATACATTATCTATGAAATAAAAATTTTGAAATACATCGAACTATATCTTTTTCTTATCATGTAGTAAATAATGTTTAAATTTCCTAAGTAGTTTCTTACACTTAATATTAAACAACCCAAAAAGTTGAAGTGAGAAATTTCAGCAATTCATCAAAAACCATATTATGTAAATAGAAATATTTTGTAATCTGAAGTTTTGAAAAAAAACGGAAAATTTCTACGATGGCTTAGAAGCAATTTATTCTCTGAAGAAGATATTCTATATGTTGTCGGGGAGGTAAATAGCATTCATATAGTGAATAAAAGTTATTACAGTTTCATTTACAGAATATATCTTATTTTGCTTATTCTTTGATCTCAATCTACTCATCCCTCTTTCAGAGACCTTAGCCAAATATATACTTGTAAATTTTAGCATAATCCCTGGTAGACATCAATTTTAACATTAGCTAATAGTTATAGTATTCTTGTAACAGAGAAATCAAATGGAATGAATTTATTTCGTATACTCAGCTGGGTCTCTTCCTTCTTCTGACTCATGCAGAGAAACAGCCCGACCACCCACCCTGACAAATGCCTGAGGCCCACATGCAGCCTGCAAAACTGCAAACATCACTGCCCACCACAGACCACGGAAGCAAGAAGCCTGTTTCCTGTTACTTGCCACCACTCAGCAATGCCCACCCCATGTGTATAGAGGTCCAGAATGCTCAAAATTGTTCTTCTGCTGCTGCAACATTGGAGCCTTCCATCATCTCAGACACATGCTTTTATAAACCAATAACAAAGGATCAACTTTCTTCTAGGTCTGAATTGAATACTGTGAGGCTAAAGTGTCTTAACTCATTGAGGGGGTGGAAAATATTAAACCAACTAAGCCTTACCTAATTACAATGCCCTGCTGCTGCTCATCTCCCTTTATTCGTTTGTACTCATACTCAAAAGAGGTTGTGTTTTTTTCCCTTCATTCAATAACGATTTTCCTTGATTCTTAGATAAGTCCATTCCATAATGTACTCCTTAACTGTTCTGAATTTCTTTCAGAGAAAAACTGGAAAAGACATTAAATCATGTTGAAATATTTGACTGACTTTCATCTAGGAAAAAATATAAAGTTAAATCTCTACACTAAAATATAAACAAAATAAAAAGAAATTTCAGTAAGACCAAAACATTTACTTTTAAAAACCTATATCATGTTATATGTATAACTGAGGAATGTAATCATAATTTTGATTTGTAGAACTGAAGACAATATCAAGTAACCCTCAAAATGTAAATTCAAGAAACAAGGTAGTTACGTTAGCCTGCATTAAAATAAAAATATCTGTGTGACAATATATGCTGTAGAGCAAATTAAAAAACAAGTGAAAAGGTTGGGTAAATATTTGCAATACATATTGATACGGTTTGGATTTGTGTCCCTGCCCAAATCTTATGGCAAATTGGAGGAGGGGCCTGGTGGGAGGTGATTGGATCATAGGAGCGGATTTCCCCCTTGCTGTTCTCATGATAGTGAGTGAGTTCTCACAATATCTGATGGATTAAAAGTGTGTGCACCTCCCCTCTTGCACTTTCTCTCCAGTCACCATGTGAAGTTCCTTGCTTCCCCTTCTGCCATGATTGTAAGTTTCCTGAGGCCTCCCAGTCATGCTTCTTATTAAGCCTGTGGAATTGTGAGTCAATTAAGCCTTTTTTATTCATAAATTATCCAGTCTCAGGTAGATCTTTATAGAGTGTGAAAACAGACTAATGCACATATACTAAAGGGTTTACACATAAAATACATTTTAAAAGATCTAAAATTTCACTCCTAAACGTAAAAAACTCAATGTAAAGAAGCCAATATATAAATAGATAGTTAACAGCCAATACATAGGAGTGGCCAGTAATCATTTAGAAGACACACACCCTCACTAATAATTAGGAAAATGCACATTAAAACAGAAACAATTTTTCATTCCCTATATTAATGAAATTTGAAGAAAAAGATGGATAATATCAATTGCTAGTAAAGGTGTCAGAAAACAATTTGAAAGCAATGTTCAAATTATTGAACTAAAAACATAAATTGGCCAGATTTTTAGTAAGAAAATTTGATTTTTAGTAAGAAAATTTGATTTTAAAAAGTTTGTTAAGAACATTAATTATCTAGGGTGTTCATTGCTTGATTGGAGATTCTAGATCTTAAATTTATTTTCCATTATTATCCCTACCTGGTGTTGTTTTACACACATACATATACACACACAGTTGGGTTTTAATAAATAATTTCTGGATTGAATTCCTTTGCAAAAACATTTTCCATCCTCCATTTAGATGACATAAAAATGTTATTCTGGATAATATGTTGATAGTTACACTTGTGATTTTCTTGTTACTGAAGCAAAACAGAAACATTTGGAATACATATGCTTATTGTCTGAGGAATTAACTCCGAAGAACAGAGACCTAGTTTAAGTCATTCCTAAAATAACTCCTAATGCAGCATTTGTTATCAAATATTTTTTTATCCAATATCCTTCAATTTCTATGTTTAAATTCCAATATGTACTTTCATTACTCCTACATGCATGTTAGCAAGCATTTATTATGTATCTGCTATGTTTCATGCATTTTGCTATGAATCATAGAGGAAGAAAAATGGGTACAACATAGCTTGGGTCTCAAAAATCTACCTGGGGAGGCAGCATGTGTAAAACAAACATGGATAGAAGGATAAAAGGAGGTAAACATTAAAAGAGGTCAAAAAATAAAAGTTTAGTGAAAGCACAGGAAGGAGAAAGACTAATTCCAACTCTGATGGGTTGAAAAATATCTCATTGAGGAGTTGGCATTTCTTGTGCACATTACATAAGACTAATACTTAAATATTGTCTGGAAATTGTAGGAAAACATAGCATCACGTGTTTCCGGTTTTTATAACAAATTTCTCCCTTAAAAAGTTTCAAATAAATGCAAATTTTGTAAATTCCTAGAGGAGCTTACGATTTAATGGAATTCTTGAATGAATCCTTAATAAGATGAATAATTGTTCTCTGGTATTTCTTTTCTGAAAATCCAGATTCCTAAATATGAGATAGTAAAATTAAGATAGGCACATATAATGACTAGTTTGATGTTGAATGGTACTACTGAAGGTATTGAGAATTTTTTAAAAATTACTTTTAAGATTAAACAAAACTTGTTAAAAAATTACTATGGCATTTAGTGCTTTGTATATGCATTATATTCATCAGAGTAACTAGAAAAAATGGAACAGTCTACATAAAGTATAAATTACTATTATTATTATTATTATTATTTTGAGGCAGGGTCCTGCTGTGTCACCCAGGCTGGAGTGCAGTGGCGTGGTCTCGGCTCACTGCAACCTTTGCCTCCTGGATTCAAACGATTCTCCTGCCTCAGCCTTCTGAGTAGCTGGGATTACAGGTGCGCGCCACCACTCCCGGCTAATTTATTTTTTTGTAGAGACGGGGTTTCACCATGTTGGTCAGGCTGGTCTTGAACTCCTAACCTCGTGATCTGACCGCCTCAGTCTCCCAAAGTGCTGGAATTACAGGCGTGTGCCACCATGCCCAGACAAATTACCATTATTTTTAATATATTTTTTGGTTATTCGGATTTGTTGGCAATGTTCCCTATTCCATGGCCAAATCTTTATGCATAAGTCACTGACACATGTGAAAGGCAAATATTTTACTTAACTCCACAAGTCCTCTGTGCCTTTGCCTCTGACACTTCAACATGTCCCTCCCTGTGGTCTTCTATTTTGCCCTTTCTACCATCTCCTGCTACATCTCCAAACACATACATAGCATTCCACACCCATGACACCATGGTCATTTGAAGAAACTCTGAGTTTTGTTCCGTTTTTCACTTTAAGCCGGCGAGGCCAGATGTGGTGGCTCACGCCTGTAATCCCAACACTTTGGGAGGCCGAGGGGGGCAGATCACGAGGTCAGGAGATCGAGACCATCCTGGCTCACATGGTGAAACTCCATCTCTACTAAAAATACAAAAAAATTAACTGGGCATGGTGGCACGCTCCTGTAGTCCCAGCTACTCGGGAGGCTGAGGCAGGACAATCGCTTGAACCCGGGAGGCGGAGGTTGCAGTGAGCCGCGTCGCGGCACTGCACTCCAGCCTAGGCGACAGAGCGAGACTTCCTCTCAAAAGAAAAAAAAAAGCCAGGAAAAAATAAAATCTGGGCCATAAGTGTATGAGTTTGCTTGAGAGGGGACAAACATGGTCAGCTAGTTGAGAGATGAAAGGAGAAGCAGGGCTGTATTGGGGGTGGAAAGTGGTTCAGAGGAAGGAAGAAGGCTGGAGACAATGGCCTAGATAGTTTTTACTGTTATTCAACCACGAAATCTCAATTCAATGGCTACCTCCTCGATGAAGTCCTCCCTGATTGTTCCAGGAATGACTAAATCTTCTATTTCATTTTCCACCCACCTTTATAAAAGCAAGTATCTTGCTGTTTTATGTTACCAGGACAAAGAAAGTCTAATTTTCTTAGCAAGAGAATTCAGCCCCTGCCCTTAAAAGACAGAACGTTTACTTAGAAGTTGCTAGAGTTATGACCTGAGATGATCCTAAGTTGAAGAAATATTCCTAAAGGAAGATTCCTTAGGCCTGGCCACTTTTTTACTGTTGTTGAGTGGCAGATGCAAGTTGAGGGCCAGCACAAAATCACCTGAGCCTATAAAGGATGTTAGAGAGGAGGAAGGGAGAAAGTGGGATAAGTAGACAAAGTAGAGAGATAATGGGCCTAGAAAATAAAACAGAACTCTCAGCTGTTAAAGAAGTGATTACAGATATAGAAAAAGAAAATGCATTCCATACCAGAATGCTTCCAGAGTTGCAATTGCTTTGGTGATGATGATGAAAGGGTTGGGACATGATGACATGTTGAGTCCAGTCTCTAAGTAGTTTTATGTTCAATACCAGCTTTCCACATGGGCTCTATACTTGTAATTGCTTATTTACAAACTCTCCTCTTTCAAATATAAACCAACTAAGTTAAGTACATGTGTTTTTTTTTACTTTAACATCTCCAGTAACTCATATACTACACATAATATTTGTTCAATAAATAGTGGTAGAATGAATATAAAAAGGAATGGTATAAATTGTGCCTAAGTACAGAGTGAGAGACTGAGTGAGTTGGTCTGACCTACCAGAACTGGTGCTAATGCAGATTCTAGACCAGCCAGTGATTCTGGAGTATGTGCCCTGTTGCTCCCACCCGGTTCAAAGGATAGCCTGTAACAGCTAAGTCTTCATTTCCCTTGTTCATTAATCTTGAGAGAGAGAAATAGAGAAAGAAAGAACAAGAAGGAAGGCAGGAAGGAAGGAAAGAAGGAAAGAAGGGAGGAAGGAAGGGAGGGAGGAGGGAAGGAGGGAAGGAAGGAAAGAGAGAGAGAGAGAGAGAATAAACAAACAAAATATAACAGGGCAGGTATGTCTTTATTGCCTGCCTGAGACTACAAAAAAGCCACTATTTTCTCTAGTCCTTTTCCAAACATTTGTCACCCAATACCAAAATACAAATACTCAAGCATTTTCTATTATCTGTCACCATGGCTTATCAGTTTTGGAAAATATATGGCATAAATTCTCATGCATGTTCAGAAAGTCCATATTCTCTATAATAAAGAAACGGGAAGTCTGTCCTCTGTGTGTTTTATTCAACTGATCTACAGTAACAATACTTCAAAATCCAGAGCTAATATTCGGAAGACTTTTAGTATCCTTGTCATTAAGAAACTCAGAACAAATTACCTATTACAATAAGATTTTAAAAGTTAAGTTCAAGTTATAAACATAGTAAGCCTTGAAAAATTTTACTCTAAAATCATACTGGCATATTAAAAATAAATATATACTCAATATGTATATTTCAAAGTATAACTGTGGGTTTGGATAAAACTGGGGGAAAATAAATGATACATACATATTTAAAATGAAATAATTCTAATTAAAATAGAAATCTTTTATAAGATTTATTCTGATTATTACTTCAGATGTTAGTCTCTGAGGAGCTGAGATTTCCTTTTCATTTCTTAGAATGGATCAATCAATTACTATTAGTCTGTCTAAAAGGAAAATGGGAAAAGTATTGCTTAATGTTGTTAATAGAAGAAAAGAATAGTCAATGTTTTAGGGCTATATGATAGAAAATGAGAATATATTTTAGATATATTTTATTTAGACTGGCTGCATTTACCTGTGGTTTTTCATTCTATCCAGCAGGTTATCATGCTTATATATTTTAAATACTAGAGGAATGCACTTAACTAAGAATGCAGATCAAAGGAAAATATTGTCTACATAGTGGGATGTAAGGCTGTTCTCATAAGTGGAAGGCCTCAAAATATCTTTCATCTAGACCAGTGTTAACAGATTTATTAAGTTTTAGTATTTTTGGCAAGTACATACATGCTTTGTTCCAGATTATTCAAATTCAGCTATAGCAGCCCTGACAGTTATTCAAGATTGTATTTCCTCTAGACATATTAACTGCCTCCTCTTACATCTATATCTTGACATTTAATAAATTAATATTCTTATGAATTTTTTAGTTCTTATCAAATACTTTCAAAAGTTTCCACTAGGTAGGTAGAAAAATGATTCCTGCAAATATAGAATTCTTAAATGACAACTTTTTCTTTCTAGCCTCATACCAGTCTACAGTGGTCATTTTTACCAGAGGGAAAGCGATACAATTTATTAAATAATATGTTTATAGCCATAAAATCCCTAGCAATTGTTCAGCTTTCTGATTTTATAGATGAAGAAAATGAACCAGAAAGTTTGAGTCTCTAGAGGAGTGTGTGTGTGTGTGTGTGTGTGTAAATTTTTTAAACATGGGTTATATACATTGTATATATATCATATGTATAATATAGACATGTAGAATATAATATATGGATATATGCATGAATATTTATACACACACACATAAATACAAATTTATGGAGACTCAACCTTTTGGGATGTGTTTCTCCATGTATATTTACACACACATATATGTTTGTGTGTGTGTGTAAGCAGAAAGAACGGTAATTCATACCTTCGTCTTCTAGAACAGTCCTTTATTTTCACTGCAGAATTGCTATATAATCTTAAAATAAACTGCTTTAATGCTGTTGATAGATTCCTCATTAATAGAGCTAATAATTTTCTACCCTTAGTAAAATAACTTTTCAATAGAGTAGTGATTCTTACTTTGGAGCCTAAGAAGCTTCTACAACTAAAAGTTTTTCATTTAACTTCCTTCTGACTTCTCTGGTAGCTTGCACATAATTGAGAATTATGTCAATAATTCTGAGCAGATGTTATGTCTGTCTCTGTGTGTTTTGTGAATATTGTCATGTTTCTGCAGTGAGAAGAAAGGATAAGTTTCTTCTACTGACATTCAGAGGGCTGGTGCCAGTGTTAACTCTAATTTCATCATTTCTATCTGATTGCCACTGTCAGTACCTCATATTACTAAGTCACCAACTGAGAAGAGTTCTTATTGCCAGCAAATGGCCACGATGTAGAATAATCCATACACAGTGGGTTTATCCTGAAGTAATCTTAGAAATATTTTTGGCTGCTGAAGATACTGAATCTTTACCCTGCAATAAACTATGTTAGCTACTCTGTTTCTGAACTGCTTCACATACCTCAGAGCAAAGGACTAACCACCTCAATATTCAGATATCAATTTTAGGGGCAGATTTTATATGATGACATGAAGGCTGTGAAATGTGAAGACATTTATTTTACCAAAGTTTGAAATTTATCTTGTATTTGGGCTTTTTTAAATTATAATTTTACTTTTAAAAAAAATCTGCATTAAACACTTTCATGTACATAGTAGGCACATACTAGGAATTAAAATCATGGTAAATAAATTTAATTGAACACACTTTGTGTTACTCTTTCTGTGAAATCCTTGGAGAATGTTATGCTTCCTTTAAGCATTAGTGCTGGTACCTTGAAAGGTTACAGTTGAAATAATATTTTGAAAGAAAACATCCAGGCATTCAGAATGAGCCAAAATGCTTTTGTCAGTCAGGTGGGACTCAGACTGAAATTCTTTGTCCACAACATGACACTACCAAAACCAAAGCTCATGGTGTGGACAGCCAATTAACATTTAAGTTGGCCCAAGAGAAAAGACAAAACTCTTTAACTTGCAGGATAATCCATTCCATTTATTGCTTATGAAGAACTACAATGATTTGCCTAATATAAACAACATAAACATTGAAAATATTATCTATTTTAATAGAAATGTTGCAATACAAACATAATTTATATCTGATGAACATGATATAGTTCCTTAGCATAAGTAGCTCTTATATAAAGCCTGACAAACAGGAGTGAGGCACTAAGTGATCATGTTCAAGCTTGTCCTGTAACCGAACAAATCATCCAAAGAAGTGCTATCTTTCTCTACCTCACTGAAGGGGGCGTAAATATGATTGTATTTAGTACACTCATGTGGATATGTAGTGGAAACATTTGCACATATCTAGCCTACTCTAGATTCCTTTATGACTTCGTGTTACTAGAAAACAACACAAAAAAACTAGAGGTGCAGTTAAGAAACTGAATTAATCAAAACTTTTTTCTCTATTCTCTCTTACCTCTCTCTCTCTCTCTCTCTTTGTCCTTCCTTGCTTTAACTGATCTTTTTGTGGTCACAGATGTTACTAATGATGCATAAATTGCTGGACCCAATGTAAAAAATATCTCACAAAAGAAATTCTATTCTTTTAGTGTTATTGCCAGATATAAATTGATTCCATGCTATGTGGCCACCATTCTTCTTGATTCTGTTTCTGTCAGCCCAGAAATGTATTCTCTTGCATTGACATTTGATGTTTTAGTTCTTCTCGCTATTTAATATGACATAATTTATTTTATTGTGGGGAGGGGGTGAGACAGAAAGTAGGTTTACCTAACTTCTCAGAAAATTAAAAATAGGAAATGATCATTTAAATGCCTCACTTTGCTTTATTTTTAAATTTGTCTATATTTTAACTCATTTCTAATAGTCCAGTGAGATCTTTTAAAATATACTTTAAAATATATTTTGATAATTAACAGATATTAAATGTTCAGATAGTATTTTTTAAAATTATAATTACAAGAAAATTGTCACAAAGTCTTCTCAAAACTAAAATTTCACCTGTTGAGCATTCCCTAAATAATTTTTAGATTACGAAGTGATTACAACTGACTTGATACTTAAGCAAAACTCTAGTAAGTATGTCTACTCCCTGAATGTTTTCATGCGATAGATTCCTTTCTCATGAGTCATACATTTTGGGCATCCTACTGAAAGATAAGTTACAAAAACTTTTTAAGTGGTTAATTTGTCATTTTAATGTATGTATTTTAAATAGGTTGAAACCAAGAAAAAAAAATGTTAAAATATAAGATATTGGGTATGCACCCTTATTTATTTATTCACTGTGAGTATGCTGTGTAAGGCAAGATCATGATGCCTTCTCCAGATACTTGAAGGAAGACTTAAGTGATCTCACAGACTTTCGCTTCTTTATATTATTTTATCCCCAGATGATGTAGGTCATACTTTAAAAGATAGTGGGAATTTGGAATGTGATGATTTCCAAAGCATCCCTCCCACTCCCAAAAGTATCTTTATTTCTCTTCATATTATTCCAGAATATTTATTTTAAAGGAATTTCAAAACACATGGAAACATTTTCAGAAATGTTACATAGACAACACTAATAAGGATGTCATTAAAAATCGCATCTTTTTACACTAGTATGTTAAGATCTGTTCATTGTTCATGGTTGTTGAGAAGTTAATGCAAAGAAAAGTTGAATACAGATTACACTTTTTTGGTATCCAGGTTGTGCAATTTTACCTTATTTCTTCCAATTTTCTCCTCCAGTGGAAGACTTCAGGACTATAGATAGACCTGCCAGCAACCCAGAATATAAGTTTCTAATTTGCGTGTATGTTAAGCACAAAGAAAGTAGGTGATATGGCAAATGTATTTGAAAATAATGAGCAATTTAGCAGAAGCAAAAGACACAAAAAGGATCATTTTATGTGTCAAAAGCACCTAGTAAATAGAGAAATCCAGTGCTTTTTTTGGTTAAATGGAGGTATATATCTAGCACATATTAAAAGAGATCACTGCAATGACACCTTCGTTTTGAGTCTATCTAAACTGTAACTTTAAATGTATGCTAATGATTCCAATTTCAATGGTTTGAGAGACTAACTCAAAGTGGGAGTGATTTACTATCTTTATTTTTAGTAGCTTTATTGAAGTATAATTTATATACAAAATTACACTTATTTAATGTGTACAATTTGATGAGTTTGGGCATATGTATACACCCATGAAATCATCACCAGGATCAAGATAATAGACATATTCATCACCACAAAAAGGTTTTGTGTTCCATTGATTTCTGTTTGTTTGTAATAAGAACACTTAACATGAGATCTACTCTCAACATATTTTTAAGTGTACCATACAGCATTGTTGCCTATAAGCATTATGCAGTACAGCAGAACTCTGGAACTAATTTATCTTGCACAACTGAAACTTTATATGAATCGAACAACTCCTCAATTTCCATTTTTCCTTCCCCCACCCCATAGTAACTATTGTTCTTCAGTTTGACTATTCTAGGTGCCTCATATAGGTGGAATCACGCAGTATTTGTCCTTATGGGCCTGGCCTTTTTCACTTACCATAATGTCCTTTAAATTCATCCACATTGTTGCAAATGGAAGGATTTTTTTCTTTTTAGAGTTGAGTAATATTCCACTGTATGTATATACCATATTCTCTCTGTCCATTCATCTGCTGATGGATATTTGGGTTGTGTCCATAATTTGGCTGCTGTGAATAGTGTTGCAATAAACATGGGAGTGATGATGTCTCTGCAAGCTTATGATTTCAATTCTTTGGGCTATATATTCAAGAGTAAGATTGCTGGATCATATAGTAGTTCCATTTTTAATTTTTTGAGGAACCTCCTTACTGTTTTCCATAGTGGCTGCACATTTACAGTCCTAACAACAGTGTAGAAGAGGTTCCATTTCTCCACAGAATTGCCAACACATGTTATTTCTCCTTCTTCTTTTTCTTCTTCTTCTGATGCTGCTGCCTCTTCTTATTCTTTGGCCTCCCAAAGTGCTGGGATTACAGGTGTGAGCTGCTACACCTGGTGTGCAGTTTTTTAACAGCATAATTAGATAAGCAGGCATTGTCAGAGGGCAGTATCTAGAGAAGTTATATCCTTCTTCTCTTTCTCCTTCTCCTTCTCCTTTTCCTTCTTCTTCTTCCCATCCTAACAAGTGTGAGGTGATATTTATGAATTTGATTTGCATTTCCCTGATATTTAGTGATATTGACCATCCAATCATACACCTGGTCACCATTTGCATGTCTTTGTTATAGAAACCAGTTGTACGACATGATACAGGTAAATTTCTAATAACGGAGTTCAATGTAAAGATAGTTAAAGCAACATAAGCTTATATGATATGAAGGCAATTAACTTGCAAACACAAAGAAAGTCTTGTAGGTACAGATAATTGTATTTTAATTGTTTTATTTCTAAAAAGATTTGCTTTCTTCCATATAGATGTTTGCTCTTGAAATAGAAAAATCATATTATATTTTCTACGTATGTTATCATCACAAAATAAAGAGCAAGGGGAGGCATCTGTCTGCTGGGGCGGGTGACACAGGCATTTCTGCTTCCTTTGGGTACCAGATTAGTCCACCATAAGCAAGTGTCAGTGACAAAGATGGAGTTACTTATGGGTCTAATCCTGAAGATTGAAGGCCACTGTTGGTAGCTGCCAAGAATTTCCTCCACAGCTGGAGCTCCAGCTACAGGCTGTCATTATCAGTTTACCTTTAAGCTTTAAATTAAATAAAATAGAATTTTTAAACTTATGTTTATATCAAAATTCATAGTAGAAAAAATAATGAGTTCAGTAAAATGTACTATTAAGCAAAGATTCATTATTCTACACATGTAATTGAATTTTTGCATTGAGCAAACAGGCAGCTATAAACTCTCAAATTAGTTTTGCTGTGTGGAAAAAGTGGAACTTTTATGTTACAAGTAGATCTTTTTCCTTTATATATATAGTTCCCTTTTATAGTGGTATCCCAGTTCTCTTTTTATCCTCACTCTCTCCCCACAGACAAATCGAAAGACACATGGCTTTAAGTAGCACTTTCATGGTGCTGATTCTGAAGTCTCTTAAAGGACTCAGTGCACGGTGAAGCTCAGCAAAGCTCCTAAGTGTTAGAGAAATAAATCCTAATTCACATGTTAGAATATCTTAGGGAAAACGCAGACTCATTACATCCAGAACTGAACTCTAACCCATACTCCTTTCCCTCTTTCCAAAATTGAAAAAAAAAACTTAAAGAAAAATTATCTTCCATGTCCCGCATTTTCACAACCAATCACCTAACCTATAAATAAGAAAGTTCAACTCGGGATTCTCCCTTCTCCCTGTGCTATGGCAATTCCTCTCTGCATCCTATCAGCAGACAATACTTGTCATTTCTGTGCCTACATTTGTCTTTTTTTGCATAGAGCTATTACCACTACCACACTTTGATTTCACACCTGAATCATTATTATAGTCTTTGCCTCTTCATCCTCCACTTCTATCCTATTTGTACACTACTGTCAGAGTAAAACTTCTTAATTGAAAAGCAGCTAATTTTGTCTCTTCTTCCTAAAAATGGTGTCCTCTCTCACACACTCTACCAAGGTCAAAGACTTTATTTTAGTACACCGGACCTCTCATAACTCATTTGCTTTTTTCACTCTCATCTCTCTTAAGGTACTCATGTTCCCCTGTGGGACACAAACACCATTTGTACCAACAAATTGTGTTCTCAAAAGAAAATTGTTATTTTGTATCTTCAGGCCTTTGGAAATGCTAGTTTGTCTGCTTGGAATCCATTTTCCTCACTCTATATTTATTGGACTGAAGAATATCTAATTTACCTTTTCACATTAAGATTAAATACAACCTCCTATATAAAATCACCCCCTCAATCCTGCAAGAGTTAATTATCAACTTATTCCTATACTGTTATGGTTGCTAATGCGTAGTTACACCTCTTTCTGGAACTTGTGCTGTGATCATTTGTTTACACTGCAAATTGCCTCGTTAGTCTTTGAGAAATCTAAGTGCAGAAAGCTCATGTTTTCATGTTTGATTTCTCAGCATTTAGTCTTCTGCTTGGCCTTTTTTGCTTGGATAGATCTGCATGGGATATATCCATTATACCTTAAAAGACTGCAGAAATACGATAATATCACCTTTACAGATAAATGAAGGTTGACTCTGTCTTTCATGTTAAAAGTTCCTACGAATCTAGAAATCGGCCACTTGGCCCTATCTCTATACTTTAAGTGCATTACTGTCAACAGGATAGGATAAGAGTGAGATTTAAGAACACAGAAATAAATTGATGGCCATTTAGTTAATTTAATAAGCCCATGCATTAGAACATTCCTCAAAAATCCATTACATGCATGCTCTCATTTTAGCCTCAAGCTATTCTCTGGGCATGTAGATATTATGACACTTGTTTTATTGATAAGCACACTAGTCATTAGAGAGGCCAAGCAATTTTACCAGTCATAAAATTAGAAAATATTAGGAAACAAGACTTAAACCCATATCCTCTGGCTCCAAGTCTAGAGTTTGTTTTTTCCTCTTACTTCATCAAATAAGGTCTAGAAATGTATTTTTGACAGTGGATATATAGAGTTTATAATATATGGTCAGATGATGAAATGAAGTTAGAAGTTCCAGAGATTTATTGAAAGGTAATACCCTGAATAGAGGAAGCAGGATTGGGCAGGGAGAGTCTCAGACTATAATGCATTTGTAACAAAGAATTAGCCCAATCTTTTCTCTGGAGCAAAGACTGCTAGTCAGATAAGTCTCACACTTTGCAAAAACTGCCAGATCCTACTATCCAAACCATGCCCAATCATTGCCTGGGACTGCTCATAAGTCCTTGGCCTTGGCTCAAAAGCTGAGGCAGATCTGGAAGATACTAACAGCTGAAGACTATCAGCCAGCTGTTCTTTTTGCAACTGGATGGCCAGGTTTTTCTTGAAGGCACTGCTACACTAACTTATATTCACATATAAATGATGGAGCTAAATAGCAGTGCAAAATTTATTGGATGTGGTGGAGAAAGGGACAGGCAGCTAATTTCCAGATTCACACAGATTGTCTCAAGAAAAGAAGTTGGTTCTGAAGGTTATTGAAGTCACACATGTTTTAAAATCTTGATTCCAGAAAATCGTGCTTCACTAAAAACCTACATAGGCCATATTCCTTTATAAATTTGTCTTCCTTCTCTGAGAAACTATGTTGGCCTTGTTCAATGATTATTTTTGGGCAATCTTTAGAATATAAGAAAACATTTTCTTATGAATCACATAATTCTATTTTTGTGCCTTGTAAACAAGTTCGTGCATAAAACATAAAAATGGGAAACAGCTGGGCTCAAAATTTTGTAAATAAAAAACTTTCTTTAGTAATTAGGCAGTTTATAGAATGTGCAAAATGGCTTAGAAATAAAGTAAACAGAGTCCTGTAAAGCAAGTTCAATTTCAACATCAAGAGAATTAAAACATAAATATATTAGATGTTATTCCAAAGATTGCTAAACAGAAATGATTTATAGATTTATACAGTTAGGTATTAGATAAATCAAATAATTGGCTTCTGATTAGTGGAAATAGTATTATTTGAAATAAAAGTAAACTGTAATTATAGGCCAATATTAATGTAGCATTTATATTATAAAATTGTTTCTGAGTCTCCCACTTGAAAGGCAAAATATTTTGGATTATAATTTTTAATAGAAATAACGATGATGGCTATAACTGACTGCACAAAATTATGGTAAAATTGAGTTGTATGTCTATACTGACTTAAAAAGAATGTTAATATTGAAATATGATAACCATGGCCCACTGGCTGTTAATTTCAGACAAAAAAAGTTTAAGCTATCATGGAAGATGCAGTATCCTACAATACAAGCAGTTCTCTTTTGCATGTTTAAAAATAAACACATCCTTTCTGAATCATCATTCTCTGATAGAAATGAACTCCGTAATCTCAATATGGCTTAAAAAATATTACATACATCATAATTTATACAATAACTCCGAGTTTTAAATATTTGTAATACCGCTTGTTTTTTAAATACTGTGTATTTTCCTACCCAGAGTCAAAAAAACAGTTGCCAAAGAGCTAAGCAAATTCTCAGAAGCCATCTGATAGTTGCTCCTCAGTTTTTTTTCTAGGTATATTACAGAAATGCTTATTAATATGTTGCTATAGTGAAATAGGATTAACCATTTTACTCACACCTGTGGTTCTGTTTGTATCATTTAGAAGTCAAACAAAAGCATTTCAGAAACCAAACCATTTCCCCAACTAAAAATCATTGACGTATTTTTCAGTTTCTGAAGTGAATCAAAGTATTCTCAACAACATTAATAACAGCATCTTCCCACTTCCCATCTGTTTTATCATCTCAAGTCATCACTCTTCCTCCATTCTCAACAGATTTTTAAAAACCTTATCTCCAGTTTTCTATCTCTCTGATCTTTTATTATAAAAGTTAACATAGTCAGCTTTCACTAAGATGGAACCCTAAAAATTTTAGGAGGAAGAGAAGGAGAAATACATGCTGGCAATGACAACATTCACTTTGAGTGGGAAATTCATAAATACAAACTAATTAATGTACTTTTTGTTCTGGTTACATTTTGTGAAACATATCCTAATTTCACAGTTTTGTAAAAGGTACAGACATTGTGCGGAAGAAATTTTAGAAATATCAAACAACTTAGCATATTTTGAAAATTAAGTAAATGGCAACTGTATCACCATAATGTTTTCTTCTGAGCCTCAATAGACTATGAATTTACAAGTCTTTTAATGAAAAAAATCACAATGGCTTAAGAATCATATAAACTTTTCTTTTAAGAGAATCCCATTCTCTAATAATTCTTGGAATTCTTATTTGCTTTACAAATCCATGCTGGATGTCACTGAGTCCACAGTTGGCATCTGGCCTCCAATGCACTTTGCCCTGGGGTCACCTCTTGCTGGCCCCTGGTCAGGATTCCTAGGGCTCCTGCTGTTTATGCTATGAACACTTTTCTCTATGCATGGACATGATAGCAGCCTACAGTTTATTACCATGGTTATGAAGACAAGGTTAAGATGTTTTAAAAGCCTTCAATGAATGACTGAGGACAATGAAATCAAACAACCAAAAAAGTAACTTCAAATTGAATACTTTCCCAGGATGATATGATACAAAATGTATAGGAATTTCATAAAATGGAAAAATGTAAACATATATAGTTAAATATATAATGTGCTTA
Source organism: Homo sapiens (assembly GCF_000001405.40). Classification (NCBI taxonomy): domain Eukaryota; kingdom Metazoa; phylum Chordata; class Mammalia; order Primates; family Hominidae; genus Homo; species Homo sapiens. The sequence continues at coordinate 188,719,042 of NC_000002.12, read as the reverse complement.
TATTATCTATGTTAACATCCACATGTGTTAAGCAAATATATTCATTGAAACAAAGATTGCAACTTCACTTTCATTGTTAGATGCACATTTACTAAAGTTGGCCATTTAGTAAACCACAAATAAAACTCAACAAATACTCAAAGTAGAAATTATGCAAATCACATATTTTATTCCAAAGACAGGGCTTTGGGGTGAGTGGGGACAAAACATTAGTTTTTTCACACACACAAAAAAAAGATTATTGGCCAGGTGCAGTGGCTCATGCCAGTATTCCCAGCAATTTGGGAGGCTAAGGTGGGCAGAGCAGGAGGTCAAGAGATCAAGACCATCCTGGCCAACACGGTGAAACTCTGCCTCTACTAACAATACAAAAATTTGCTGGGCATGGTGGCATGCACCTGTATTCCTAGCTACTCGGGAGGCTGAGGCAGAAGAATGGCATGAACCCGGGAGGTGGAGCTTGAAGTGAGCTGAGATCCCGCCACTGCACTCCAGCCTGGCGACAGAGAGAGACTCCATCAAAAAAAAAAAAAAATTAAAAATTATTAAATTTTTTCAACATAAACACAAAGTCCAATTTAATCCCAGGAAACAAAAATTCCACATGAATTTAGAAACATTTTTAAAACACTTCTGATATTTATCCCTCCAAATGCAAAAGGTGCAGAAAGTTTTACAGGGGACTTGTTTGTGCTATATGGTACAAATAATGCCAGTGCCATTTTTATTATTACAGAATTTATAGAACAACAAATAACTTCCAAAGTCTTTGCAAAGACAGTTTAGCACTGACAGAAAAAGCTGAAAGAAAAAGAAAAAACATAAGTCAATCTCATTTATAACTCTCAATGCAGATTTTTATTTCTATCATTATAATAGATTAGCTATATTGAAAAATTCTCCCGAGTCAAAAACAATTAAAGGTGGCTAATATAAAAAAAAATCTCTTCAACTGAATCACTAACTTAAATGACAGCTGACTTCTCATCAGAAACCACTCAGTCAAGAAAAGAATTGAGTGAAATATTTAATGCACTGAAAAAGAAAAAAAAAAAAGCCCAATCACCTGGAATTTGGTAATTTGGTATTCTGTGGAATTATCATTCAACAGTAAGGGACAAATGAAGACATTCTCAGATAAAAATAGAAAACTCCTTGCCAGCAGACCTGTTTTGCAAGGAACATTAAAAAAAATTCCTTAGGCACAAATACAATGATAAAGGTCAGAAATCTGGATCCATATGAAGAAAGGAAAAGCATCACAGAAAGAATAAAGGCAGAAAATTATTTTTAGAGTTATAAATTATTATTTATTTTATATATTTATATTTATTTAAATATATATTGAAAATAAAAAGTATATTTAAATATATTTATATTTATATTTAGAGTTATAAATGGTTAGTTATAAATTATTAGAATTGATAATTTTCTAAGAAAAAGAAGTTACCCCAGGTAAATTGACTGATGTATTGTACCAAACATTAAAGAAGGAAATGATATTAATTCAATTATCCATGATTTCTTCCAGAAAATAGAAGCAGAAGGAACACTTCCTAAGTCATTTGATGAGGCCAGCATTACCCTAAAATAGGTAAAGACCCGCAAATCAGATACAAACATCACAAGTAAAGAAATAAAACCAAAATAACTCACCACATAGTATCAAATCCAGTCCAATGACATATAAAAAGAATTATAACCATAACTGAATGGGATTTATTTGGTGTGCAAGACTAGTTCAACATTTGAAAAAGCAGCAAATATAATCTAACACATCAACAGGCTACTGAAGAAAAATCATATGATCATATCAATTTAACAAAGAAAAACATTTAACACAAATCAATACCTATTCATTATAAAAATCTATCAGCAAACTAGGAATAAGTGTGACTTCCTAACATTAAGGAATATATACAAAGAGCCAACAGGTAGAATCATACTGAAGATTGAGCAACTGGAGCTTTCCTACTAAGACTGGGAACAAGACAAAGATGTCCTCTCTTGTCAGTACTATTCAACTAACACTGGAAGTTCTAGCAGATCACCATAAGAGAAGAAAAAGAAACAAGCATATGCTGATGGGAAAGGAAGAAATAAATTTGTCTTTATTTATGGATGGCTGGACTGTCTATGCAGAAAACCTCAAAAAATCTACAAAAGAATTAACAGGACTAATAAGTAAATACAGCAACTTCACAGGCCACAGATTTAATGTTCAAAAGATAATTGCTTTCCTTTATACCGGCCATGAACATGTTTGAAATTTAAAACATATATAACATTTACAATAGCACCAAAAAAATACTTAGACATAAATACAACCAAATTTGTAGAGGATATGCGTGTAGAACACTAAAGAAAAATTAATTAAAATATCAAAGAAGAGCCAAATAATTACAGATTAAGCATCTCTAATCCAAAAATTCAAAATTTGAAATGCTTCAAAATCTGAAAATTTTGAGCACTGACATGGCACTACAAGTGAAAAATTCCATACGTAAGTACTTAACACAAACTGTTTTATGAGAAGCAGACACTTCTCAAAAGAAGACATTTATGCAGCCAAAAAACACATGAAAAAATGCTCATCATCACTGGCCATCAGAGAAATGCAAATCAAAACCACAATGAGATACCATCTCACACCAGTTAGAATGGCAATCATTAAAAAGTCAGGAAACAACAGGTGCTGGAGAGGATGTGGAGAAATAGGAACACTTTTACACTGTTGGTGGGACTGTAAACTAGTTCAACCATTGTGGAAGTCAGTGTGGCGATTCCTCAGGGATCTAGAACTGGAAATACCATTTGACCCAGCCATCCCATTACTGGGTATATACCCAAAGGATTATAAATCATGCTGCTATAAAGACACATGCACACGTATGTTTATTGCAGCATTATTCACAATAGCAAAGACTTGGAACTAACCCAAATGTCCAACAATGATAGACTGGATTAAGAAAATGTGGCACATATACACCATGGAATACTATGCAGCCATAAAAAATGATGAGTTCATGTCCTTTGTAGGGACATGGATGAAATTGGTAATCATCATTCTCAGTAAACTATCGCAAGAACAAAAAACCAAACACCACATATTCTCACTCATAGGTGGGAACTGAACAATGAGATCACATGGACACAGGAAGGGGAATATCACACTCTGGGGACTGTTGTGGGGTGGGGGGAGGAGGGAGGGATAGCATCGGGAGATACACCTAATGATAGATGACGAGTTAGTGGGTGCAGCACACCAGCATGGCACATGTATACATATGTAACTAACCTGCACAATGTGCACATGTACCCTAAAACTTAAAGTATAATAAAAAAAGAGAAATTATTTAAAATATTGTATAAAATTACCTTTAGGCTATGAGTATGGGGTATATATGAAAGATAAATGGATTTTATGTTTAGACTTGGATATCATTCCTAAGATATCTATGAATATGCAAATATTCCAAAATTCTGAAATATCCAAAATTTGAAAGATTTCTGGTCCTAAGCATTTTAAATAATGAATATTCAGCCTGTAGAAAGATATTCCATGTTCATGAATTGGAAAACCCAATTTGTTAAGATGTTAATTTCTCCCAACTTGATCTACATATACATTCATCTTCATCAATACAATCAAAATTTTAGCAAACTATATTGTAGCTATCAACCAACATTCCAAGGTGTATTTATAAAGGCAAAAAACCTCAAATAGCACAATTCTAAAAAAGAAAAAGGTGGGGAACTCATTACCTAATTTGTTTTTTGTTTGTTTGTTTTGAGACGGAGTCTTGTTCTGCCTTCCAGGATGGAGTGCAGTGGCTCAATCTCGGCTCACTGCAAGCTCCGCCTCCCAGGTTCACGCCATTCTCCTGCCTCAGCCTCCCGAGTAGCTGGGACTACAGGCACCCGCCACCACTCCTGGCTAATTTTTTTTTGTATTTTTAGTAGAGACAGGGTTTCATCGTGTTAGCTAGGATGGTCTCGATCTCCTGACCTTGTTATCTGCCCACCTCAGCCTCCCAAAGTGCTGGGATTACAGACGTTAGCCACTGCGCCCAGCCTCATTACCTAATTTCAAGGCTTTCTGTAAAGCTACAGTAATCAAAATAGTGTGATCTTGGTAAAAAGTAGACACATTAATCAATGGATCAGACCTGCATAAATGCAATTAACTGATCTTTGACAAAAACACAAAAACAATTCAACAAAGAGAGGTTAATGTTTTCAATAAATTGTGCTGAAAAAATTGGATATCCATTTCAAAAATTGAGTCTAGGCACAGGACTTATACTTTTCACAAAAATTAATTCAAAATGGATGACAAAATTAAGTGTAAATACAATGCTATAAAAATTCTAGCAGAAAACAAGGAGAAAATCTTTGTTAGTTTGGATGTGATAATAAATGTTTGCATGTCATACCAAAAACATGACCATGAACAACAATAAAAAATAGGATGGACTTTATTAAAATTAAAAAATTCTGTTAAACAAAATCTACTTTTAAGAAAATGAAAATACAAACAACAAAATGAGAGAAGTTATTTGAAAAACGTATCTGATAAAATACTTATATCTAAAATATACAAAGAACTCTTAAAATTCAATAATAATAAAACAACCCAATTTTAAATAGACAAAAGATTTATAAAGGGATCTCACCAAACAAGTTATACATATATCAAATAAGCATATTGGAAAGATGACCAATATCTTTTTTCATCAGGGAATTACAAACGAAAACAATAATGAGACACCACTGCACACATGTTAGAATGACTAAAATCCAAAACTTGATAAGTTGATTTTATGTGTTCTTGATATGATGTGATGACAGTGGCATTTTATCTGTGAGATCTTCTTCCTCAAAACTTACAACTGTAATTTAATAGGGATACAAAAAATTCAAAGCATCTCAGCAGAAGAACATTCTATAAAATACCTAACCAGTTCTCCTCAAAACTCTCATAGTTATAAAAATAAGGACAGCTTGAGAAACTTTTACAGCCAAAGCCCAAAGAAGATCTGATTATTCAATATAGTGTAGGCTCCTGGATGGGATCCTGGAACAGGAAAAGGACATTGGGTAAAATAAGAAAATCTAAATAATGTGTAGACCGTGGTTAATAGTAGTGTGACAAATGCTCTAGACAAATGTATGATGTTAATAATAAAAAAACTGCATGTGGGGTGTATGGGAATTATTTTTACTAACTTTTAAATTTCTTCTGTGAATGTATTATTATTCTAATTTTTTTAATCTATGGGGAAAATATTCAGACACAAAATATAGGAGGATCAGCAAGTCATAACTATATTACATTTTAAGTATATACCCAAGACAGAAGATAATTGATTTGAGGCAGAAGGTAGGATGGAAGGAGAAAATGTCAAATAATAATGTCAAATGTATCATGGAGAAAATGTCAAATAATAATGTCAAATGTATCATCTCTAGATTATGTTATTTTACATCTACAATCTCCCCAAATACTATTGAAAAACAATTAGAAATGGCCAGACTATTCTGTAAAACCACTAGTTAACCATCAGTGGTTGTTTTTTTCTACTTTCAAACACTACTTATCAGAAAATAAAGGGGAGTGCAGTGTTCCATTTATTGGAGCCATGACAGCATCAATCAATAACTAGAGGAATAATAATAAAGGCATAAGTTTTTTGTGAAGACAATGTAAAACTAAGCAGAAGCACAAGCAGCATTTGAAAAAAAATGGAAAAAGGAACAAAGCCAGTGGCATCACACTACCCAACTTCAAACAATACTACAATACTATAGTAATGAAAACAACATGATATTGGTACAAAAACAGACACATAAACCAATGGAACAGAATACAAAATTCAGAAATAAAGCCATACACTTACAACCATCAGATTTTCTACAAGGCCAACAAAAACAAGCACTGGGGAAGGGACCTTCTATTCAATAAATGGGGCTGGGATAACTGGCTAGCCTTATGCAGAAGAATGAAGCTGAACCCTTACCTTCCTTTTCTTTTTATTTATTTATGGTTTATATTTTAAGTTTTGTGGGTACACAGTACGCACACACACACATACACACACACACACACACATATATATATATATATGGGGCACATGAGAAGTTTTGATACAAGCCTGGGATATGAAATAAGCACATTATGGAGAATGGGGTATTTATCCCCTCAAGCATTCATCCTTTGAGATACAAACAATCCAATTACACTCTAAGTTATTTTTATTTTAATTTTAATTTTTATTTTTTTTATTATACTTTAAGTTTTAGGGTACATGTGCACATTGTGCAGGTTAGTTACATATGTATACATGTGCCATGCTGGTGTGCTGCACCCACTAACTCGTCATCTAGCCTTAGGTATATCTCCCAATGCTATCCCTCCCCCCTCCCCCCACCCCACCACAGTCCCCAGAGTGTGATATTCCCCTTCATGTGTCCATGTGATCTCATTGTTCAATTATAATTAAGTTATTATTGATTACAGTCACACTGTTGTGCTATCAAATAGTAGGTCTTATTCATTCTTTCTATTTTTTTGTACCCATTAACCATCTCTGGCTCCTCCCTCCCCATCAGCTCCCCACTACGCTTCCCAGCCTCTGCAAACCATCTTTCTACTCTCTATGTCCATGAGTTCAATTGTTTTGATTTTTAGAGCCCATAAATAAGTGAGAACATGCAATGTTTCTCTTTTTTGCCTGGCTTATTTCACTTAATGTAATGACTTCTAGTTCCATCCATGTTGTTACAAATATGGATCTCATTATTTTTTCATGGCTGAATAGTACTCATTATTTTTTATGGCTCAATAGTACTAATGGCTGAATTAAATATATATACCACATTTTCTTTATTCATTTATCCATTGATGGACTCAATTTTTAGTTTTTTCAGGACCCCCGCCCCTGATAATTCAACATCATTTCACATAGGTTCTTTTCTATTTCCCTAAGTGTCGGCCGGTCTCAGAAATAAAGGGAAAGAGTACAAAAGAGAGAAATTTTAAAGCTGGGTGTCCAGGGAAGACATCATGTGCCGGCAGGTTCTGTGATGCCCCCCAAGCCGCAAAAACAGCAAGTTTTTATTAGTGATTTTCAAAGGGGAGGGAGTGTAAAAATAGGGTGTGGGTCACAGAGATCACATGCTTCACAAGGTAATAAGATATCACAAGGCAAATGGAGGCAGGGTGAAATCACAGGACCAGGGAGAAATTAAAATTGCTAATGAAATTTCGGGCACACATTATCATTAATAACATTTTATCAGGAGACAGGGTTTGAGAGCAGACAACTGGTCTGACCAAAATTTATTAGGCAGGAATTTCCTCGTCCTAATAAGCCTGGGAGCGCTACGGGAGACCAGGGCTTATTTCATCCCTTATCTACAACCGTAAAAGACAGACTTTCCCAGAGCGGCCATTTCAGAGACCTACCGCTAGGAACACATTCTCTTTCTCAGGGCTGTTTCTTGCTGAGAAAAAGAATTAAGTGATATTTCTCCTATTTGCTTTTGAAAGAAGAGAAATATGGCTCTGTTCCGCCTGGCTCTCAGGCAGCCAGACCTAATGGTTATCTCCCTTGTTCCCTGAACATCGCTGTTATCCTGTTCTTTTTTCAAGGTGCCCAGATTTCATATTGTTTAAACAATTTGTGCATTTAATGCAATCATCACAGGGTCCTGAGGTGACATACATCCTCAGCTTACGAAGATGATGGGATTAAGAGATAAGGTAAAGACAGGCATAGGAAATCACAAGAATATTGATTGGGGAAGTGATAAATGTCCATGAAATCTTCACAATTTATGTTCAGAGATTGCAGTAAAGACAGGCATAAGAAATTATAAAAGTATTAATTTGGGGAACTAATAAATGTCCATGAAATCTTCACAATTTATGTTCTTCTGCCAAGGCTTCAGCCGGTCCGTCCATTTGGGGTCCCTGACGTCCCGTAACAGCTGAATAGTATTCATTATTTTTTATGGCTCAGTAGTACTAATGGCTGAATTATATATATGTACCACATTTTCTTTATTCATTTATCCATTGATGGACACTTAGGTTGCTTCCAAATCTTAGCTACTATAAACAGTGCTGCAACAAACATAGGAGTGTAGCTATCTCTTTGATATACTGATTTCCTTACTTTTGGGTAAATATCCAGCAGTGTGATTGCTAGATCATATGGTAGCTCAATTTTTAGTTTTTTGAGGAACCTCTAAACTGTTCTTCATAGTGGTTGTATTAATCTACATTCCAACCAACAGTGTACAAGGGTTTCCTTTTCTCCACATCCTTGCCAGCATTTGTTATTGCCTGTCTTTTAAATATAAACCATTTTAACTGGGGTGAGATGATGTCACATTGTAGTTTTGATTTGTATTTATCTGATGATTAATGATGTTGAGCTCCTTTTCATATGCCTGTTTGCCATTTGTATATCTTCTTTCGAGAAATGTCCATTCAAATCTTTTGCCCATAATTTTAATCAATTATTAGATTTTTTTTCCTAATAAACATGTATGAGCTCCTTATATATTCAGGTTATTAATCCTTTGTCAGATGAGAGTTTGCAAATATTTTCTTCCATTCTGTGGGTTGTCTTTTTGCTTTGTTGTTTGTTTCCTTTATTGTGCAGATGTTTTTTAACTTGATGTAATCCCATTTGTCCATTTTTCTTTGGTGGCCTGTGCTTGTAGGGTATTGCTTAATAAATTTTTGCCCAGGCAAGTGTTCTGGAGATTTTCCCCAATGTTTTCTTGTAGTAGTTTCATAGTTTGTGGTCTTAGATTTAAATCTTTAACCCATTTTGATATGATTTCTGTATATGGTGAGAGATAGGGGTCTAGTTTCATACTTCTGCATATGAATATTCAGTTTCCCCACCACCATTTATTGAAGATATTATCTTTCCTCCAGTGTATGGTCTTGGCACTTTTGTTGAAAATGAGATCACTGCAGGTGTGCAGATTTGTTTTTGGGTTCTCTATTCTGTTCCATTGGTCTACATGTTTGTTTTTATGCCAGTACCATGCTGTTTTGGTTACTATAGCTCTGTAGTACATTTTGAAGTGAGGTAATGTGATTCCTCCAGTTTGGTTCTTTTTGCTTAGAATGCCTTTGGATAGGCTATTCTTGGTCTTTTGTGGTTCCATATAAATCTTAGGATTGTTTTTTTCCATTTCTGTGAAGAGTGTCATTGGTATTTTTATAGGGATTGCATTGAATCTGTAAATTGTTTTGGGTAGGATGGACATTTTAACAATATTAATTATTCTGATACATAAACATGAAATATTTTTCCATTTTTTGTTGTCCTCTTCAATTTCTTTTATATAGTTTTCATTATAGAGATCTTTCACTTCTTTGGTTAATTCCTAGGTATTTAATTTTCTGGGTGACTACTGTAAATGGGATTATTTTTTAAATTTATTTTACACATTGTTCACACGGACCCTTATCTTTCACCATATATGTGACACCATAAACCATAAAAATCCTAAAATGAAATGTCAAAAATACCGTTCTCAATATCAACCTTGGTAAAGAGTTTTTGGCTAAGTCCTCAAAGGTAATTGTAACAAAAACTAAAGATGACAAATGGGGTCTCATTAAAGTAAAGAGCTTCTGCACAGCAAAAGAAAGTATCAACAAAGAAAACAGACAACCTACAGAGTGGTAGAAAATATTGGCAAACTATGCATCTGACAAAGGTCCAATATACAGAATCTATAAGGAACTTAAACCAACAAACAAAAAAACAAATAACCCCATTAAAAATGGGCAAAAAAAACATGAACAGAAACTTCTCAAAAGAAGATATAGAAGTGGCCAAAAAATATATTAAAAAAGTTCATCATCACTAATTATAAGAGAAATGCAAGTCAAAACTACAGTGAGATACTATCTCACACCAGTCAGAATGGCTATTATTAAAAAGTCGAAAAACAACAGATTCTGGGGAGGCTGCATAGAAAAGGGAATGCTTATACACTGTTGGTGGGAATGTAAATTAGGTCAGCCATTGTGGAAAGCAGTTTGGAGGTTTCTCAAGGAACTTAAAACAGAGCTACCATTCTACCAAGTAATCCCATTACTGGGCATATATCCAAAGGAATATAAATCATTCTACCAAAAAACACATGCACTTGTATATTCTTCACTGTGTTATTCACAGTAGCAAAGACATGGAATATACCTAGATGCTCATCAATAGTAGATTGGATTAAGAAAATGTGGTACATATATACTATGGAATATGACACAGTCATAAAAAAGAAGAAAATCATGGTGTGTGTGTGTGTGGCCACATGGATACAGCTGGAGAACATAATCTTAAGCAAATTAATGCAGGAACAGAAAACCAAATGCCACATGATCTCACTTATACGAGGGTGCTAAATATTGAGGACATATGGACACAAACATGGCAGCAGTAGGTACTGTGGACTACCAGAGCGAGGAGGAGGGGAGCATGGGTTAAAAAATTACCTATTGGGTATTATATTCACTACCTGGGTGACAGGATCCATCCTCCAAACCTCAGCATCACATAATTTACCCATGCAACAAACCTGCACATGTATCCCCTGTATCTAAAATAAAAGTTGGAATTAAAAAAATACATGACAGACCACATGATTTTGTGTAAAAGTGGCTAATTAAGAAAACAAAAAGCAACTTTTACAAGTGTCTGAATTAAATAAAGTGACCCAGTAAAAGTTCTGACAGTTCACAAAAGATAGTAAGATAATATTGAATCACAAAGACTTCCTTCTTCCCCACCCATCCATGCTGTCTGAGGGCAGTAAAGTAAGACCTAAGATGCTTATACTCTTCTAAAAAATTATGCTTAACCAAGGATACTTACATTTTGGTTAGAAAGAGATAGCTCAAGGTTATGCTAAGTAAAATAGTACATGTGCTACCTGTATGAAAATTGCCATACGCAATAAATATAAAATACATTTGTCTATCCATCTACTTTTAGTCTCAGATTTAGCACCAATGTGTGTCCTCCATTGGATAAAGTTTTCAGAAAAAACTCCTCAAAAATGGTCTCAAACATTGCACTTTGGCATTGAAGCCTTCTTAAATAGAGGTCTTCAACAGAAAGCAAGGATGTGAGTCCCTACCCATCATTGTTGATAAGAATAAGGTAACAAAGGGCATCAAAAGGAAGCAAGTTAGAAGGTATGCACTCGTTCCTTCATACATGCACTTAAAAGTTTAAAGATATCAAATTAATCTATATAAATGATATAGAATTCTATATCATTATGTTGAAATTAAAATACAATTTTTTGGTGGGTGATCTTTGGTTGACTTAAAAATTTTATATGTAACTAAACATGTCAAGTATAAGCAGGGATATTTTCAACAAGCTCTATTAGATAAAACATATACACTTACCATAATTAAATCTATATTGGCACAGGGATAGACAGATCGAGAGTACAGAATAGAAAGTACATACTTAACATGTGTAAAAAATAAAACTTTTCATGGGCAATGTATTAGTCCGTTCTCATGCTGCTAATAAAGACATACCCAAGACTGGGTAATTTTTAAAGGAAAGAGGTTTAATGGACTCACAGTTCCACATCACTGGGGAGGCCTCACAATCAGGGTAGAAGATGAAGGAAGAGCAAAGGAACATCTTACATGGCACCAGGTGCGAGAGCTTCTGTAGGGGAACTCCCCTTTATAAAGCCATAAGATCTCATGAGACTTATTCACTATCATGAGAAAAGCATGGGAAAGACCTGCCCCCTGATTCAATTACCTCTCACCAGGTTCCTCCCACGACCTCCCAAGGGAATTATGGGAGCTATAATTCAAGATGAGATTTGGTACACAGTCAAACTATATCAGATGAAAATAATACTGTATGGACAGTCAAAAAAATTCATGAAAATCTAGAAAATGCATTTGCTGCCTATATCTCTTCTCAACTAAACTGAGTTGCTTATAATCACCCTATCCACTTCTATGCCTTTCCAGCTCTCATTAGCTCAATTCAATTATGCTTCCATTTCCACCACTCCTCCAAAACTTGTCTTACCTTGGCTGCCAATCTGCTCTATATTTTCAAATTCAGTGGTCAGCTTTTAGTCCTTACTGTGTTTGATCTCTCAGCAGCAATTGAAAATTGATCATTTCTACTTCTTCAAAACTTTTTTTTTTATTTGTGTGATTCCACATTCTCTAATGTTTCTCCTATTATGGGGAGTTATCCTTGACTCCTCTTATTTCCCAGATAGCATCCATCACAAAATCCTCTATATCAATGGTCCCCAACCTTTGTGGCACCAGGGACTGGTTTTGTGGAAGACAATTTTTTCAGAGACTGGGGTGGGTGGGATGATTTCAGGATGATACAAGCACATTTCATTTATTGTGCACTTTATTGCTATTATTATTACATTGTAAGATAATGAAATAATTATACAACTCACAGTAATGTAGAATCAGTGGGAGCCCTGAGCTTGTTTTCCTGCAACTAGATGGTTCCATCTGGTGTAAGGAGAGACAGTGACAGATCATCAGGCATTAGATTCTCATAAGGAGTGTACGACCTAGATCCCTTATGTGTGCAGTTCACAATAGGGTTTGTGCTGCTTAAGAACCTAATGCTGGCCAGGTGTGGTGGCTCACGCTTGTAATTCCAGCACTTTGGGAGGCTGAAGTGGACGGATCCCGAGGTCAAGAGATCGAGACCATCCTGGCCAACATGGTGAAACCTCGTCTGTACTAAAAATACAAAAATTAGCTGGGTGTGGTGGCACATGCCTGTAGTCCCAGTTACTTGGGAGGTTGAGTCAGGAGAACTGCTTGAACCTGGTAGGTGGAGGTTGCAATGAGCCAAGATGGTGCCACTGCACTCTAGGCTGGAGACAGAGTGAGACTCTGTTAAAAAAAAAAAAAAAAGAAAAGAAAAAAGAAAAACACCTAATGCTGTGGCTGATCTGAAAAGAGACGGAGCTCAGGAATTAATGCGAGTGATGGAGTGTGACTAAATACAGGTGAAGCTTTGCCTGTTCTCCTGCCACTCTCCTACTGCTGAGCAGCCCAGTTCCTAACAGACCACAGACTGATAGGTGGTGGGGAACCCTGCTCTACATGAACAGTGAACACTGAAAAGAGGTATCAGTTCACTTCTCTCCATGTCCACATCCTCCTCCAAGTTATCATCATCTTCGACTGAACTATACTATAGTCACCTAACTTGTCTCCGTGCTTTTGCTCTTGACTGCTAATTATCCTCCCGGACTTCCTCCTTCCTCAACAAACGAATTACCCACACTACAGTGTGTGAGCATTTTAAATCGGATTTCTTATTTTTCTGCTTAAAAGCCTTCAACGTCTCCTCATCTCACGTGTAATATAATTCAAACTCCATACCCAGCTTAAATGATCTGGCCTCTTCCTTCCGTGTGAACTTGATATAGTTCTCCTAACAGTTCACTGCAAATTATGCATGCCTTCTTTCTGTTCTTTAAGCATACTGTGCTCATTTCTGTTTTTGGGCCTACAAGATATAACCCATAAATAATCTAAAGCCCTGTTAGCAAAGGCCCCAGAAATCTCTACGTAATTGACCTTTGTTCTATTTTTTTCAAGAATAAATTCAGGAAAGTCCTTAGGCCTGGGTGTCCTGGGGCAACTGAGAGTGGTAAATGAGAACCATATGAATGCTTGTTTAGTCTTATTATGTACCAATGAATATATTTTTTTATCCTTTCTAAATCTGAGAAAGTCTGTTATCCTTACAGATGAAAAGAAAATTTAAAACCCAGATAAGATTCTGGGTATAATAATGTTTAGATTCACAAATTTTTCTTAAATTTCCCGTATGTACCATTCTAATGGCACTTATTATTACAAGGAATTTTAAGGCTATTTTCTTCAATTATTATTATTAAATTTAAATGTAGCTTACATGTTTTGAAAGTGAAAATATTTTTCAAGGTTTTTAACAAAGAGTAGAAATGAAAACCATTTCTCATCTATTTATACTTCTTCAGAAACAATATCCATAATGCAAAATGTTATATAGCTTCCATAACTATAAATAACATTGTTTTTGTTTTTGACTTTCAATTGTAAATATCATTTATTTATCACTATGAAAGACAGAAATTTGGTTCTCTTTCACTTTCTTCTGCTTCCCCATCTTTCCTAAGTACTCTTTTTCCCAGTGTTGTTAAATTGTACTTACGATTAGCTCAATAGATAGTTCAGTACATTATCATTAAGCATGTACTATGATTACATAATTATATATATTATAGTTTTCAGTTTAATTTTATCTATATTTTCTATGATTTCAGTCCTAAATTTCTTATCAATATTTAAAAATCTGTCTCAATACATCAAAATAAATCAAGCATTCTATTCAATCTTCTGAAATAAATTCCTCCTATAGCCTTTTGATGTATTCTATTCTAGGTTGTTTTCCCTCTATGCTCAGTATAAGCTGTCATACTGACAACTCCATTGCTCCTAATTTGGGAGGTTCTCTTTACCTCTCCCTTTTGCTGAATATGCTGTTTTTCCTGTATCCTATGTAATTCTATTTGATTTACTCATTTCAGTTTGTGGAGAATATTCTCCAAAGGCTTCCTGAGAATGGATATAAAAAAGACAAATATTTAGAGACCTTGTATGTTGCATTTATATGTACTTTACTTTCTAACATGGCTGATCATTCAGCTAATTTTAGATTGTAGGTTGAAAAACTTCCCACACAACCTCCACAACGATGTATAAGATACAGCTCTTTTAGCTATCAGGGTGCTGTTAGGAATCCTGTTGTCATTCAATCTCTGGACTCGTCTGTAACCATTTTCCCCTCTCCTGGAAGTTTTTAGGGTCTCCTTTTTGTCACTGGTCTTCTGAAATTTCACAATAATGTAACTTACTTTGAGCTTGTTTTTAATAGTTCGAGCTTGCTTTTAATTCATTATGTTCAGAATTCCTCCAGCCTCTTCAAATTTATGTCTTTGTGACTGGGAGATGTTGAAATTGTAAGGTGTTCTGCCCTCTGTTCTCTTATATGTAAACTCCTACTTTCACTCCTATGTTGAACTTTGTAAACTGGGCCACTGATATCCTCACATTTTATATCTTATTTTTCATCATTTTGTAATTTTCCTCTGCTTTAAAAGAGATGTTCCCAATTTTCTCTTCCAACTCTCTGACAGTTATTTTTCTTTTATTAGTAATGTCCATGAACTTTTCTATTCTTCAGATTATTGTTTTAAAGCATTTTATTTTTCTTTCATAGATATATCATTTTTATCTAAAAGCACAAAGTTAAAATTCAGATATTTTTCAGACGTAAAAATATAGAAAGATTATTGATTTAAAGTTATCTTCTCCTTTCTTAGACTCTGTTTTTTCAGTTTTTTTATTGTTGATTTGGATTTCTGCCTTTTATGTAAAATGTATGATGATTTGTTCATATTTAAGATTATGACACAGTACAGTTCTTTTTGGTTTGTAGTTTCAATGGATTAGCCCACAAAACCATATCTTAAGTTATGTCCTCTTAGGTTCTATAAAAGTATCTTCTGGATATATTCTGGACCTACCTGAGAGTGTACTGGTAGATGAATTATAAGAATAGGGTGGGGGAAAACTCATTAATCTAGATAAACATTCAATGTATTTCTCTATTTCAGCACAGCATATATACCTCTGCTCATAAACATGTCTTATGGCCTCCAGTCCAGATATTCTGGGTTTTACGATTTCTAGAAAAGTAAATCTTCAATGTACCAGGTGGAATAGAAGCAGTCAACTGGTTTCCCAAATGTGGGAAGAAGTGATCATTTTTTCCAACACCTCCATTATTACTGATTAGTGATGTTTTGTGAGTGGAATCTGAGTTTTAAATCTGATTGCCTATTAGCTTTCCTCTCTTCCTACTTAGGATTCAGCTTCCTTAGATCAGGGAAGATCCATCACCTTGTTTTCTTTGTAATTAAAAATTCTGTTACGTTGTGTCTGGGTGTTAATGGCTATCTTGTAGTTTATCTGAAATTTAACAATCCTTCTTTTTAATATCCCTGTTTTTATTCCATTAGTACATGCATTTTATTTTAGTAAATCACTTTTCATATTGCATCTCAAACTTCTCTATATTTTTCATCTTTCATATTTTATATCTAAATATTTTTCTGCTTCTAACTCAATTCCTTGAAGATATTTTTCCATATCACTGAATTGATTTTATTAACTATTAATTTTGCTACTTAATATGTCTAATTTATATGCTAACCCCAGTATTTTTTAAATTAATTTCCAAGGTCTTGTATAATTCTTCCTTATCAATCTCATTTCTCATCTCATTCAGGGAGCTAAACTCTGTGCCCACAGACAGGGTATCACTATAATTATTGACTTTGTTACTTCATTTGTGTAATGATCAAATTTCTTTCTCAGGATAAGTTGAAGAGAATGTTAAAGAACTTTCAGCTAAATTTCTAATGTTTAACAAGCATTTATTTATTATACCACTTTTGAATTTCTAATCTCTCCCTCCTGATATTTGGTACTCTGATGGATTGACTATATAGAGAAGATTAAAAACTACAATTACCAACATTCAGTTTATTAGCAATTTTCTTTCCAATGCCTGGGATGTGGCACTGTGCTTTCAGGGATTACAACTTCCAGCATACAGAGTATTATCATCATTCTGCTACATGTGAGGAAATATTATTAAATGATTGCCATTGATAAGAGGAATTCACTCATTGTGGTGAAGAAGTAACCAAGTTTTTTCATCAATACAATGCCTAGGTTTGAGTCAAAAAGAAAAAAATCATATGTGTGTCTTCTCTCTTTTGTTTAGGCTCTTTCATGTTTTTTAAAGCTGTGGTTTGTCATAACGTAAAGCCCCAGTCAGACACTTATTAATAAAACCATTCCAAACAACTTCCTTTATACTTAAAATGGTATTTCCTCCATAGTATGAGATTATCTTGTCCACAAGTCACTATTTGGATGACTCAGACTATTACATATCAACGCAAAGTTGAAGTGAGCCTTTTTCAGGAGGATAGTCACTAGATGAGATTTCAAATAGAAGTACTGCTTTGTAACTTTTATAAAAATGTGTATAGTTATCAGCTTTTATAACAAATTATCAAAATTGTAAACAATAAGGAAATTCTTATAATAAATCTCTTGCCCTGGAGCATGACTAAAAAGTAATGTAGAATTTTTATTCTAAGTCTGTTCAAAGCAAATTGGAATACTC